>NC_000006.12:163555638-163707153 GCF_000001405.40 Homo sapiens | reverse complement strand
TTGACTGATACTTTAAATATAATAAAGACACAAAAGAAAAAAATAGATCCAGCTTTCTGGGTGTAGACATTTTTCTAGGTGGTGCTTAATGAATTTAAGCTTCTGAGAGATGGTTTGTATTCATTGGATCCCCTATCCTGATACCAGACCCTAGTTCCTTGGTCTTAAACTGCAAGGATCAGACTCGCCTGGAGGCTTGTGAACATCCAGACTGGTGTGGGGCACCGCCAGAGTGTCTGACTCACTGGGTCTGGGAGGGGCCCAAGAGCCTGCAGTTCTAACAGGTGCTATAGATGCTGCTAGCTTAGGGCCCACTTTGAGAACTGGCTGCTTAGCTCAGTGTTTTGAGAATTAATAAGAGAAGGACACGTGGGAGATGAGACTCTGACATTAAGGATCACACCAAAATACCTCTACGCCCTTCGCCGAAGTCCTCACTTGGTGTCTTCATGTGCATATTCAAAACTCTGGAATTCAAGTTAATAATAAGAGCATGGAGGCCTATGCTCTATGAAATGTCCTGACAACATCCCTAACTTATCTCAAAGAGACTTACTACACATTGAATTTAGGTTTCACAGGGAAGTTTTTGCATGTTAATTAAATGCCAATTGATTACTAAAGGCAAATCCACTGAGGATTAACTAATGTCACTGACATGGACTTCTGACATAACTGCAAAATCCAGTGCTTAACAGATAGTAACAAGCTGTCTCATTAGAAATCAAATGACTATGGAAGAAATCATGTTTAAATGTGGGTATTTTTCATCGTGAGATTTGCTGACACATGGCAGCAAACAGACTTGATTTGGGATAACATTTTCTAACTATTGTCCTTAGCCTGCCGTGTTTCTGAAGCTGCTCCTGCCACAGCAGAATGCCTCTAATGGATGACCCCCCACTTAGGACAGCACTGACTCACCCACGCAAATCCAAAGTGTGGTGCATGCAAATTTTAGCCTCGAGTTCTAGTCTCAGAGCACAAAATAGTAACAACTACAACAAAAATAACAGCACCACGCACTGAGTCTACTGTGCTTCATGTACTACATGAAAGAGGAACCGCAACACCAATATTCCAGTCAACGGAAACGGGGCTCAAAGGGACTAAAGAGTGGACTGACCAAGGTGACACGTGCAAGTCAGTGGTGGAGCTAAGATCAAAGCTCTTCGCTTAATCACTACAGATATATTAAATATTAAACATTTACAGTCTACACAGTCTCTATTTTGTTGAAGATTTTTATGTGGTACATAATAGAATCATTTTACATGATACATAATGGAATATTTATTACGTTTTACAAATAAAACTGAGGCCGAGTGAGATTGGGAGAGTTACACAAATTCACAGAGGAAGTCCATAAAATGCCATGATTCTAACTAGACTACAAAGCCCCCTCTAAGCTCTGTCATTGCTCTTGGAGAATCCATTCGTGTGCTTCACTTGGTAAGTTCAGAGGTACTTACAAAATGCCTTCTATGTGCTAAACACTGGCAAAATGAACTTGCTGATAATTTTTATGACTGATCAACTTGAATGATGAGCTCCTATAGATTAAAGATGGCCACGTGTTCTTTGATGCGCTTCCCTATTAAGGGGAAACTATTTCCCCTCCCACAGGAATTCTGGGCTAGTCTGAGGCCCAGTAATTATATCCCAATTACTCATCACTATGTTTACCAGGTACTTTTGACTGGTACTTTAAATATTATAAAGACACGAGAGAAAGAAAAAATTGCTGGCCAGGTGCGGTGGCTCACGCCTGTCATCCCCACACTTGGGGAGGCTGAGGCAGGTGGATCACTTGAGGCCAGGAGTTCGAGACCAACCTAGCCAATATGGTGAAACCCCGCCTCTACTAAAAATACAGAAATTATCCAGGCATGGTTCTCAGCTACTCGGGAAGCTGAGGCATGAGAATCACTCCAGGAGGCAGAGGTTGCAGTGAGTCGAGAGTGCACCACCGCACTCCAGCCTGGGCGACAGAGTGAGAATCTGTCTCAAAAAAAAAAAGAAAGAAAGAAAAAATTGACAAGATACAGACTGCTGGGTGTAGGCATTTTTCTAGGTAGTGATATAGTAAGTTTAAGCTTTTGAGGGACAAAAGAGAAGGAGACTAATCTCTTTAGTCTTCTATATAACTCATCATTCAAGTTGACCAATCATAAAAATTATCAGCAAATATATATTTTGTCAGTGTTTAACACATAGCAGGCATTTTGTAAATTGCTCTTAACTCACTGAGTGAAGCACAGAGGTTGATTATCCTAGAGAAATGACAGCTGAGAGGGGGCTTTGTAGTCTAGTTAGAGTGCATTTTATGGACTTCCTCTGTGACTATTCAGCTTTGACTAACAGGGTATGGTGAAGTGACTGCAGGCCAGTCCACAGGCTTCAAAAGGACAGGCAGCTTCCACCTTGGTCTCCTGGAGCCCTGTGCTGCCAGGTAAGAGATCTGACAGTCCCGCCTTAGAGGCTATGGGGAGGCCCTGAGATGACATGGGGAAGCTGAGGTATCAGCTGAGCCCAGGCTTCCTATCCCTACCAGAGTGCTGGGCCTCTGACAGAAGCCTTCTTGAACCCCCAGGCCAGCCCAGCTACTAGCAGAAAAATTTCAGGTGTCTGAGCCCATTCATGCTGCTAAAACAGAAGACCACAGACAGGTTGGCTTAACCAACAAACATTTATTTCTCACAGTTCTGGGAGCTGGGAAGTCCAAGATCCAAGCACCAGCAGATTTGGTGTCTGGTAAGGACTCACTTCCTGGTTTGCAGATGGGTACCTTCTCATTGTATCGTCGCAGGGGCAGAAAGCAGAAAGGGAGAGCTAGCACTTGTGTCTCTCCTTATAAGGAAGTAATCCTATTCATGAGGGCTCCATCCCCATGACCTAATCACCTCCCAAATACCCCACCTCCTAACACCATCACATTGGCAGTGAGGATTTCAAAGGTATGAATTTTGAGGGGACACAAATGTTCAGTCCCCAGCACTAGGTGACCTCAGTTAATACAACATGAACTCTTGTTCAAATTCCTCACTTCCCAAATGACAAAACATAGTCAAATTGCATGTGCTTTCAGTCACTGACTTTTGGGGTAGTTATGCAGCAATAGGTTACCAGAAAAAAAAACACTTGTTACCTGGAAGAGGGGTGCTTCTGAGACAAAAATGGCAGCATGTGGCTCAGGACTGGAGACCTGGTGGTGGAGGTGGAGCAAGGTCTGGAAGGCCTCAAGACATCTGTTAATGGGGAAGGAGGGACAGTGAGAAATTGTTATTAGAGACTGGAGTAGAGATAGCCCATGTTATGTGATGGCAAACAGTTCAATGAACCCATCCCTTGACGAACATGGAAAACAGAAGGTACAGCTATGAATTCATGAATTAGGCCTAGGAGCTTCCCAGGTGGCATACAGAACTCATCTCCTGGTTGTCAATGATAAAATTCAAAACAAAGATGAACCAAAAAAGGAACTGTTAGTTTTTATAAACAGAATGTAGAAGAAATATAAAGGAGCCAGGACTTGCTAGGTTTGAAAATAAAACTTTCTTATCCTTAGTCTCTCCCAGCAAAAGATTCTCAAAGGAAAAACTGGTTCCACGGCAAAGATCAAACCCAAGATGTTACTGCAAGATTCTTTGTTAGGTCTTCAGAAGGTCTAAGGTGGTGTCTCACAGGTCATTTCAGACAGACGAAAGTCCTGCAAGGGACGTTCAAGGCATGCCTCAAAGAGCTTCTCTACTAAAAAGATGGCTTCCATGGCTCCAGACAGCCTCCCAAAGAGCTAAAGTTAAAGAAAGTTCTGTGTGGCTCCAGGGAATTGGTGTGTACTGAGAAGGGGAGGGGCCCACACGAGCTCAGCCTCCCAGGAGACTCTTCCACAGCTGCAAGGGCATGCGTAAAGCCATCTTGAACCCTCTGGACCAGCCCACTTGCCAATGACCACAAAGTGATCCCTGTCAAACTCTATGTGAAGCAGAATAATCGTGGGCCAGTGCCTGCCCAAATTCCTGATCCACAAAATTGTGAGACATAAAAAGATGATACTTTAAGACACTAATTACAGAAGTCACTTCTCACACATCAAATAACAATTATGACATGAAATTTCACAGCAAATGAGATGAGATGAGCACTCCAAAGGTCAAGTGGAAATTGTTATCACCTTCTTTGTGTTCATATCTGCATATGGTTCCACCAAGGTATGACCTGCTACTAACCACCTAACAACTAACAACCAGATGCAAATTTCTTACCCTTTCTGCAGCAATAGACACAGTTCACTTACCTCCCCCCACCCCACCCCTCTGCCCTTCTTGAAACTCCTCTCGGCTTCCACTGCACACTGAACTTATCATTTTCTCAACTCCGCTTTCGAAAATGGCTACCATTTGTCCCTTTCTATTTTCACTTCTACCACCTACTTTAAGCCATTCTCTCTCTTACCTGGGCTGTTGTAGTTGCTTTGTAAGTAGTATCTCTACCTCCAGGATGTTCTAAACCTCATGTCATACTAATTTCCCAAAGTGCAGCTCTGATCATATCCAGCCCTACCTCCTACCAAATGTAAACTATTCAGCAGCCAACATACATTACTCACTATTCTCCAAATATATGCCCCAGATCTTTACACATGCCATTTCTTCTCCATAGAATAACTTCTTTTTCTCACTCAACATCCCTCTCAGCCTTTAAAAGTCAGCACTATTGCCACCACTGCACTGCTGTTTTCCTCTCTGAGGAGGTATGGACCTAACCCCCCCAGCCTAAAGTCAGTCTCCTTCCTCCCAAATTCCCATGGTGGATGGCTCACAATTGCCTAACAGTTTTACCATATTCGGTCAAGTGATAAATTCATAGGTTCACCCTCTACCAGATTATATGCTCCTCAAGGTTGGGAAGTAGATCCCAGCTGTGGAAACACAAGAAGTCCACACACTGGGGAAGACAGACCTTGCTCTCAAAAAATGTTATATTCAACAAAAGACAAGACTAACACAATGAACACTTAGAGAATGAAATAAGACGGGATATAATGAATTTCTAAATTACACGGTACAGATTATAAGTGCTTTAGGAGATTGGAGAAGTAGAGGAGCTATCGTGGAGTGCTGGAATCATCAAGTGCAACTTTGTGGGTGAGGCAGAATGTGCACTTGTAATGTCAGGCTGGGAGGAGACAAGTGGAGAGGAAGGAAGCCACTTCAGACAAAGAAATCAACATGAGCTCACAGACAGGAGCGGATAAACACTATGTATTCACAGAAGAGTGAGGAGATGGGCTTCAGCTAATTAATTCTCCAGGAGTAGGGAGACTCTCCAAGGCAGCCTCTTCTCCTAAGAAATCCCTATTCTTACCATAAGCTCACCTTACCTTTGGCTATAGAAATCATTAAGATATTTCCCAGACTAAAATCTGGGACGTGTAAGGGAAAAATATTTGAGTCCAGTACGGGTCAGGAGAATCAAGGAAATACGAGCACCCTGCAGTGAGGGTTTGGGGCAATTATTCCCCCCACCTGTAAGAAGCACACACAGGAGAGTGGACCACTCCCACGGCTGTATCCACTGCAGAGGGCACTGAGCCACAGGCCCTCAGCAGCCCAATCTCTGCTCAGTTTGCAGAACCACTGTCAGTTTTTCAGCCTGTCCTGCTTAACCTAGTGAGCCTTTAGTCATATATGTTTCCTAAACAAGGTTCTCTCACCTTTGTTTTAAAGACTGTGGATCTGTGGCCCCAGGGAGGTTTGAGGAAATGGCCGAAGACCCCACTGCCCATGATACAGCAAACCCAGAAAAGGAAAGCAGCTGTCTGGCTCTGCACCCCAGGGGTTCTCCCTCTCTGTTGTACTTTCTCCCAAGAAGATGAAGTCTTGCACAGGTCACTGATATTATCTAGAGCAATAAGCTGCCCCATGGAAACTATCTCATGACGTGTACTCACTAAGTGTTTGCAAGGAGAGCACCCTCTCCTACCTCCCTGCCAGCCCAGGAGATCAGAATGTCCACCAACACTGTCGCCCTCTCAGGAGGGTGGAGGAAGAAGCAGCAGCCTTTTCTCATCTCTTGTCGGCTTTTCCTGAGGACAGTAAAGAAGATTCGCACGAGATGGGACAATACGCATCCCACAACCATGGTCTCATTCCTCTGGGAGTTGGGGAAGCGGCTCTCCTAGGCTTTCTCTCGAGCTGCCTGTCCCCTCGGGCCACATCACCCTGAAGAGCAGGCCCTGCCCATCTGCTGGGCCCACAGGCTCAGCCGGGAAGTTCAACTCAGGAGAAAGGGAGTAGGGCGCTCATTTGGGCTTCACAAACAAGCCGTTGGATCCAGTTTTTCCAGCCAAGAGCAAATTTGACACCTCTCTGAATTCTCTGTATCTTTTTCCACAAGTTCAGAATTCAGAAGGCTTGAGAAAACTGACTCCCTCAGAACCCTCCAACGCCACCATCCTGAAAGAAAAATCAACAGAAATCGTGCTTCATGGGAAACCTCAGGGGGCTCAGAGCACAGAAATGATCCATGCCAATGGTTACTCATGTGAAATTCCTCCACTCCCTCTCAAAAGGACTCTGAATTCACGACCCCTCCCCAAAATAAACAAAGCTCTGGGCCTGACATTAGTCAACTCATTTCACGGTGTTGTGGGGCCTCAGCCTTGTCCTCTCCATCTTTTTCCCCAATTCTTCTCTGTGTGCAGGGAAGTGCCTCCCACAGGAACCGGGGGTGCCTATTGTTAGCAGAGCTGACCCCAGCCCTGGAGGTGGTACTGACTGCTTCATCGTGGCCTCTGGAGCAAGCCAGCAACCTACAATGCCTTTGAAGAGCCAGATGGCAGGAATATGTTTTCATAGCTACCTTCAAAAATAAGAGAACAATGAAACAGACCTAGACCATGGAGAAGCAAAAAAGGGCAGCTCCTTTATGACTGCAGCCCGTCCGGCTCCATCTGCTCCTGGGTCTGTGGCTGCATGGCACTCAGGCTGACGTCTCCATCCAGGGCTGTGGGTCCTCCTCCTTCTGCATGAACTCCAACCTTGAGTGGGATCCCACAATATCCTTCCTCTGCCAGACCCGGCTCCACCTACTGTCGTTCTCCTAACTCAAACCGTGATTCTTTCTCTGTCAACTGGATGCTTGCCCCAGCCTATAAACTTGCCCCAGTTGCTCCCATCCAGAAGGAAAAAAAGAAAAACCTCTACCTGTCTCTCTAGCACGCCACCTCCACTCTCCTCTCCCCTGGCCAGGTGCTTCAAAGAGCTGTCCATGTGCTCCATCTCTTACCCCTCTCATCAATGCTACCTACATCTGCCCACACCACTCATGGAGACCACTCTCTCCGTAACCATCTCCAAAGACGGCCTGTACTGGGCTAAAGAGTGTCTCCCAAACATTAACATCCACCCCAAGCCTGTGAACTTGAGGTTATCTGGAATTAGGGTCTTTGCAGATGTCATCAAGTTAATATGAGGTCATCAGGGCGGCCCTAATCTAATCTGACTGGTGTTTTTATAAAAAAAGAAGAGACTGCAAAACACACAGGGAGACCACCATGGACAATGGAGGCAGTGACTGGAGTGACGCATCTACAAGCCAAGGAACACCAAGGTCTGATGTCACCACCAGAAGCTAGGGAGGCAAGGACAAATTCTTCCTAAGAGCCTTCAGAGGGAACAAGGCCCTGCCAACACTTTGATTGCAGACTTCTAGCCTCCATATCGATGAGAAAACAAATTATTGTTGCTCTAAGCCACCCATTTTGTGGTACTTTTTACAGCAGCCCTGGGAAGCTAACACATGACCTCTTTCCAGTTCTTCTAGCCACTTGTTTGCAGAATTTGGCACCACAACTCCATCCTTTCTGAAATTCTCTTCATCAGTGATTTCAGCAAGATAACTTTCTGGTTCTCCTCTTAATTCTCTGCTTCTCCCTTGCCTTTTTCAATGTCAGATTCCCCCACAGTTCTGTCCTTACTCCCTTTCTCCTCATTCTACTCTTCTTTCCAAGGAGAGCTCATTTGACTTCTGTCCACGATGACCCCCATATTCACACCTTGCCTCTCCATTGAGCTCCAGACCCGTGTCCCCAAACACTTAACAGAATTCCCATCACATACACCTCATAATACCACCCATCCAGAAGTAAACTCATTATGTGCTATATTAATTTTTTTTTAATTTTTATTGAAGATTGACCCTGGCTATCAGATGGAACACCAGACCTAGTCTTTTCTATGGCTACTTCGGCTTCCTCCCAGCTCAGTGGCTGGTTCTGAAAGTGAGAAACTTAAGGAACACTCAGAAAAAGGTATAGAGCCTTTCACTGCCGAATCACGTAAGCCCCACAGCATCTCTTCCACTCTAGTCATAAATCTGCCCAATTCAAGGGGAGGGAGAATAGATGTCACCTTTCAATTGGAGAAGTGACAAAGTTACAATGGAAGAAGAATGGACGGGATGGGAGATAGTGGGTGCTGGAAAATGCAACCTGCCATGGCTTCCTAACTAGCCTCCCTACCTTAGGGTCTCATCCCTCAACCAAAGTGACCTCTGCATCTGTGCCAAGCTCATGGCTCACCCTTGCTTAAAACAGCTGATAAATCCCATTTCCTACAAAATAGGTTTCTCAAGCTTTCCTATCACCAGGAGCCTGGTTACTTTGCTATTGGCTCTCAGCTCCAAATGCACCCTTGTAAACCCTTCTGTGACACTGGGCTGTGGCTCTGTATACCACACTTCCCAGGCCCCCTTGCCAGCTGCCTCCATTAGGTTCTGCCAAGTAACTAGAAGACACTAGAAGGAAACTCTAAATCAAGTGGGTGGAGAAAGAGGTTCCTCCCTTCTCTTTGCTTCCTGTCAGCATCACCCCTGCATGGGCACTTTACTCCAGCAGTGACCGAAGGTTCCAGCTTCCACTTTCTTTCTATGCTCGCAGAAACAGCCTAGCTGAGTTCCTAAGAGTCCTAGAAGCAGCTGGGTCAGACCCCTTTTTGGAAGCCTGAGTCCCGCCTCTATAAAGCCCTCTCTCCAAGTTCCAGGAGCTGAAAACCCCATCTCTCCCCTTGTTCTCCCAGCCCTCAAGGTGGCACCTGCAGCTGTCAGGGTTACCTTGGTGTTCTCTTCTGGCCCTTTCATGGCAATGCCTATGAGATCAACCCCCCATATAAAAGTCCCTCTTTGAAACACCTAGTGTGGGTCCTCGCTCCCTAACCAGGCTCTGGCTGATAGGGCGTGTTAAGACTTTTCATTATCTGGCTGCAATCTGCCCTTCAAAACCGACATTCCAAGATTCTCTCCATAAAGCCCTCTGCATTCTACCCACACCTACTATTTCGCCCTAATTTTTTTCATCCTCTTACGACTATGTATATACTGAATCGCTAATTTCATGAGGGAAGAAACTGCATCTTAAATATTTTACTTTTTCTATTTTATTTAATTGATGCATAATTGTATATATTTAAAGAGCACATAGTGATGTCCTGATACATACAATCTATAGTGATCAGATCTGGGTAATCAGCATATCATCTCAAACATTTATCACTTCCTTGTGTTGAGAACATTCAATATCCTCCTTCTAGCTATTTGAAACTGTGTATTCTTAACTACAATTATCCTACAGTGGTATAAAAAGCTAGAACTCACTTCTCCTATGTAGTTTTTGTTTTCTTACATAGAAGCTGTACTTTTTAAAATTTTTTTCCTTTTTTTTTTTCGAGATGGGTCTCACTAAGTTGCCCAGGCTAGACTCAAACTCCTGGGCTCAAGCAATCTTCCTGCCTCAGCTCCCCAAGTAGCGGGGACTACAAGCACACACCACAGCCCTTAGGCCATTTTTCTCTCTCCCTTCTCTATCTCCCCACTTTCTTTACCAGTACCTTGTGCAGGAAAAGACGTATAATGTTAGTTTAATGAATGCAATTATTAATTCATTCACTATATGCCTAGAGAAATGATATACTGAATGGATTTCTGACATTGACGGTAGACATGTAAGATAGACATTAAAGGATGGGTCTTACCTAAGCCTCACACACCACATCACCAAGCTGCCTCTCACTTGTCCTATAGATTAAGGAAGGCATGATTATGACCTTACGTATTACATACAGTAGTCCCGTTATCTGTGGTTTCATTTTCTGCAGTTTCAGTTACCCACAGTCAACTGTTGTCTGAAAATATTAAATGGAAAATTTCTGAAATAATTCATAAGTGTTCAATTTTACACCATGCTGAGTAGCATCATGAAACACAGTCCCAGTGACAATTAATACTGAGTGTCAACTTGATTGGACTGAAGGATGCAAAGTATTGTTTCTGGGTATGTGTGTGAGGGTGTTGCCAAAGGAGATTAACATTTGAGTCAGTGGACTGGGACAGACAGACTCACCCTCAATCTGAGTGGGCACCATCTAATCAGCTGCCAGCACAGCTAGAATAAAGCAGGCAGAAGAAACCAGAAAGACTGGACTTGCTGAGTCTTCTGGCCTTCATCTTTCTCCCATGCTGGATGCTTCATGCCCTTGAACATCAGACTCCGAGTTCTTCAGCTTTTGGAGTCTTGGACTTACACCAGTGGTTTGCCAGGAGCCACGGGGCCTCTGGCCACAGACTGAAGGCTGCACTGTCAGCTTCCCTACTTTTGAGGTTTTGGACTCAGACTAGTCAACCACTGGCTTCCTTGCTCCTCAGCTTGCAGACGGCCTATTGTGGGACTTCAGCTTGTGATTGTGTAAGTCAATTCCCTTTAATAAACTCCCTTTCATATATGCATCTATCCTATTAGTTCTGTCCCTCTAAAGAACCCTAATACAGTCCCGCTCCAGCCTGCTTGCAATGTGAGTCACCCCTTTGTCCACCTTATCCAAGGTGTAGAAGCTACCTGCCCATTAACTTTCAACATCGTCCACTTCTGACATCCAACCATCAACGTCATCATTACCCAGGCTCCAGGATCCAGGGTCACCTGAAGCAGATGATCCTCCTTCTGAGGTTTCATCAGAAAGTCAAAAGCGACATCACAATGTCCACGTCATTCACTCACTTCCTCTCATCCTGTAAGCATTTTATCGTCTAATATCATCAGAAGAAACATGAGTATTTTTTGAGAGAGACCACATTCACATAATTTTTATTACAGTACATTGTTATAATTAGGTATAATATGTGTGTACAAGAAAAAAACTGGGTGTACAGGGCTCAGTACTATGCCCAGTTTCAGGCATCTAGAGGTCTTGGAATACATCCCCTGCAGATAAGTGGGGCTCTTGTAATAACCAGGGAAGCCCCAAAGGGATAGGCATAAATCTGAGCCACAAGCACTGGAGAATGCTGGTCACAGCTCTGACATCTGATTATGTATGACACTTGCCCAACCGCAGCTCCATTTCAAGTATAAAAGGGGGAAATTGCTATGAACAGTGTAATGGGCTATTTAAATTACCGCATCACGATAGCACTGAGAACTGATCTTGTCCTTTTTACGAAAGCACCCAGGTGTCCCACTAGATTAGTGTAATAACCCTGTAAGAATCTCTGGCCAATAGTTCTCAGACATAACGTCCAGGACAGTGAGCTTAGGGGAGTTTCTCAGCCCCGCAGAGCCTGAATGAGGCCCCAGGAATGCCTAAGACTTATGGAGAGTTGAAAACTAGGACGTTTTTAAACACTTTGAATTAGAAATGAGTCATCTTTCAAAACCAACTTTGCCTTTCGTTTAGGTTTCTAGTGAAAAACAAACATGCAAACAAAACCCCAAACTAATTCCAAATACCTCAGAAGTTAATTTGCTTTTCATTTATTCTCCAAACAGATACAGAGGTTTTCTTTCCTTTAGCATATTTTAGTTTAGGCTCATTTGTTTGCTAGGAACAAACATTCCCTCTAGGTGGAACAGATAAGGAGCTGTTTATGTAAGGGGTGATGAGAGACCCCCCTCATGGAGCCCTAGAATAAGGCTGTGACAAGAAGCTGCCCTCCGGTTGGAGAATGGGGTGCGGGGTGGGATCCAAAGCAGATTCCCGGACTCCCACAGCGGAAGCAGGTGGATCTTCACGTGAGCGCTCCACCATCAGCAGCCACAGAAACTCCTGTGTCTCTTTTTTCTCTTACTAAGTAACAACAGTTTCTTTGCTTCCTTCCAGTTTAAGTTCTTAAGAGGGAATCTGATCAGACTGGCCCATAGACGCCACAGATCTGTGGTCAGCCTGGGGATACAGACCTGCTTTCCTGGGTGTTGAGTGTTTACAGATATGAGTGCTATATGTGTGTGTGTCGGGGTGCGGGACATTGGTTCACTTAAAAAGCATCACGTATATTATGAGAAAAAAGGTTTGCAACTGGAATATCCATTTTATGATTCTTGATCAACTTGCTAATATGTTATGGTATTTCACACCTGTGTGAGTCTGGGAAAGGGGTGGGCAATTCTTAGCTAGCCTGAGTGGTTTTATGCTTTCGTGGGGACCTCACAGTATTCTTCAGGTTCCCATTTCTGGGTCTGATCTCCTGCACTCTGCTGACCCACGTGTATGCAGCTTGATTCGGGGCAGTATCTTCAGATCCCTCCCGAGCTCCCAGAAACGGAGCATCCCTTTCAGCTCCTTGCTGCTGGGGTCCCTCCATCCTTCTAGGTGGCCCTGTTGGGCAAGACCCAGGACAGTCCCACACCAGCTCTTTCACATGGCCAGTATTTGGATCGGAAGACAATGATACATCCCTTGCTCCAAAAACTTCTGGGAGTGCAGGGCAATCCCAGGCATCTCTATGCTCTTACTAGAGCCCACTTCATCCTTCTCAGGCAGCAGTACTCTGCATCTCCCAAGTGTAAGAACACACTTCAAGAGCCCTGCAACAGCTGATGGAAATCCTCTCACTAGGCTACAGATGAAGGGTGTGGCTCCCCCAGCCACCTCCTCCCTGTGAGGGAATGAGGATTCACAACACAGCCACATCATTTTCCACACGCACCTCTCCACAAGCGTTCACACATCTTCCCTCTACTCCCTTTTAGACTTTCTATGTGGTTTAGAAGTCCAAGGCTCATGGAATCCATCTGCAAAGTTTCTCCTATAAATTCTGCATATAAATACTCGTCTCCCACTCACTTTGCCATCTCTCCTCTATCCTAGTGGTGCTTCAGTCTAAACCTCCATTTTTAAATCCAATCACACATTAACAAGTTTTGACAAAATCTGAAGTTATTACTTTAATACCATATTATATATTTAAAAACATATTACCTATTTTATAATTTTTGATGTCTAATTTATGAACGTGACATGATGAAGCCAGAAATTAATCCACGTAATAGCAGAAATTGGTTAGCCAGCATGCATTCAGTGACTCTCATGTGCCACCCTTGTGTGCTGGGTGCCTGCAAAGACTACAGCAGACCCATGACCCAGGAAACACAAGCACACTTCAAGACCAATGGGACCACAGAGTTGACCACAGTGCTATGCCTCAAATGCCAACATGGAGGATTACAGTAAACAGCATAATGCTAATAAATTGAGTAGGGGTTTGCAGATAAAGCAATGCAGTCCTAGAGATCTGTGGTTAAATTTTTTCATAAGAAATGGACATCAGCCGGGCGCAGCAGCTCACGCCTGTAATCCCAGCACTTTGGGAGGCTGAGGCGGGCAGATCATGAGATCAGGAGATCGAGACCATCCTGGCTAACACAGTGAAACCCTGTCTTTGCTAAAAAATACAAATAAATTAGCCAGGCGTGGTGGCGGGCACCTGTAGTCCCAGCTACTCGGAAGGCTGAGGCAGGAGAATGGCGTGAACCCGGGAGGCGGAGCTGGCAGTGAGCCAAGATCGCGCCACTGCACTCCAGCCTGGGAGACAGAGCGAGACTCGGTCTCAAAAAAATAAATAAATAAATAAGAAATGGATATCACAGTTTATTGTTACAAACATATTTATCTAGAAGATGTTATTTACAGGATTGTTTGTTTACAGTGGTATAACATATTAAGAGCTCATGGATAAATTATGAATGTAATACCAAATACCAATATTTAAGTTTCTCATAAAAAGTATCAAAAATAAAAAATAAACACTGCTTTTGAACTTATTTTATTCTAGTCAAATACTGTTAAGCATACAAGAGTAGCATCTGCTTTTATAATTCCAAGTGAACGTAAAGAATATGCAGAATTTAGTGATAATTTTACTGTGTTTGGTGACTCTACACATGCAGTTAGTTTAATCCAGTTGGCCCATGTTTATAAACATGCTATTCAGGAAGTAGAGATGCTAAAAGTATGCTTGTATACTTTTTTTTAAAGTTTTAATGCTATACAATGAAAAATGTAGACCAAGTTCACAATGCACAAGCCCTAAACAAAACCACGCGTCTCTGGCTGGTGCAGTATTTCCACGACACCAGGCATCAGCCTAGCTTGTGCTAATGTTGTATCTTGGGAGAATGACAAAGATGAGTCTTGGTTTTTAACAACTGGCAATTGCTGAAAAAAAGGATTCAACAATGAAAATGCTCAAAAAATTATCCTCAGAAAACATGTGATAAGCATAAACCTTTCACTGCTATGATTGCTGGGGATAATCTTGCCTCTATATTTCACAAAAAGTTACCAAACTGATATACACCAGATTTCTCAACCCCGACACTACTGGTATTTCTGGTGCGACATTTTTTTATTGTGGGGGCTGTCCTGTCCCCAGGATGTTTAGCGGTATCCCTGGCCTCTAATCACCAGATGCCAGCAGCACCTCCTCCCCAACTTGCAACAGCCAAAAATGTCTCTAGACATCGCCAAATGTCCCCTAGGGGCAAAATGGCCTCAGTTGAGAACCAGTGACACCCACTAATCATCTGGGGCACGGAAGTAAAACACTCTGTAGTTTAATTCAATGCAACTACATTTGTTATTATCTATATATACGGTGATAGGCATGGAGCTTTCAGTCCAGCAGGAGAGCTTAAGTAAAAGAGGGCTTGAGACCATGTGTTCAGGAGTCATATGGCTGGGTCAGACTGTCCCCTTTGCTAGCTGCCTCTCATCTTGAAAAATTCACTTAATCTCCTTAAGTCTTGGCTTACTCAACTGGGAAATGGGAGTAAGAATAGCACCTGCTTTGTATGCTGTTGTGAGAATTAGATGAGAGAATAAATAGGCATTCATTCCAAATAAAACGGCATTTAACAAAGTACTGGTATACAGTAAGTGTCCAATAAATGTTGGAAGATGCATGGGTGCTGTAATAGCACACAAGAGGACAACAACAGTTGCATCACCCTTCTCCAAACTCAGCTGGAAACAGTGGAAAGGAAGGATTTGCCAGCCTGCTCCCTGTTACCAAGAGAAGGGGTTCATCTGAGATATGTGTGCGTCCACACATAAACAAACATGCATATGGTTGCGTGGTTTTAAAAGATCCAATCTATAACATCCGTGTTGAATTAAGGTGTCAAGTACATTCTGAGGGTTTTATCTTTAATAAATTAGATGACAAGTTAAATTTGTTTTCATTCTGCCTAGAAATATTAATACTGAATTTTGAAGCAGACATTACTGATGCTTTCAGAGCCTATTTTTAGCAGATTTTCTTTTCTAAAGATTATTCCATAAAGACAGGTGAAAAGAGAAAAAGTAAATTGTGATGTGAAAACTGTCGCTCCATAAAAGGCAAATGATATATTCATTACATCCCAGCAGCAGAAGGATGTGAAGTGGTCCCCTGACTTAGTTTGGCACAAGTCCTTCCACAAACCCCAGGACTGTGGCCTGATGTGAACACCGCTGCTGCTGAATGGTCAGGTGGGCCTAACTCCAAGCCAACCTGGAGTCACGGGGTTGCCACACACAGACCTTCCACTTGGGAGCTGTTGAGAGAAGACCCAACAGGACTCTGCTCTCCTGAGGGTCCCTCACCAAGAACTGCCTGGGCCTGGCCCCGTTCTCCAGCTGGGCACAGCCGTGGGCAAGGCACATGGCTTGATGAGTTCGAGGAGGGCTGTCTCAGCCCCGCCAGCCTATGCAATCAGCCTGTGCCCCTACACGGGGAGCCATGACCCACCCTGAGCTTGATCTTCCAGGGTCTCTTGGTCCATGGTTTCGTCTTCACTTAAGAGGTGCCACTATGACCAGAAAAAAAGAACTCCGCTCCATCCTTAACCCTGGCTCTCAGCACAGGGCACTAACTTACCTATTGAGCCTCAGGAGAAGAACCTGATGCTCTGGTCATCACATCTGTAAGGAGGGCCAATATGTAAGGCCAGCCAAAATCAGTGCCATCCCCTCTTGAATTTATGAAAAGTATTCCTCCTCTGAACACCCCTGCCTTCCCCACCTCTCCCTGGCAAATCCATATGTATCTTTCAAACCTCAGCTCAAAAGTAGTCTGAACATTGAAGCCTCTCCCAGCTCCCTCCTCCACCACCAAACTCTGAGGTCACTTGCTCCAACTAATCATGCACTACATTGTTTGTTTGTTGAGTCTATCTCCCCCACTCAACTGTGAGTGCTTCATGACACACTTAATAGGTAGAATAAATGATATGATTGATATTTTATGGAATTGAATGTAGCTTTTCATTTTAAGGGACCGATTAACACTACACTAGGTTCAACTATTATTTTTCTTCCAGTGAAATCCTTCAAGCCTTCTGAGCAATTTAATGTTTTCCCTGCAGAATCATCTAAATATGAAAACAGCCACTGTGCATCAGAACAGAGCAATCACCTATTAGTGACTAGGTGTGCCACTTTCATGGAGATGGCTTCCACATCTCCTAACAGAGGACAACCATGCTTATTTAAATGCCTGCTACGTGGCATACTACGGAGGATCATCAAAAGCAGGGCCAGATCTGCTGGGCAAGTGGGAGCTGCAGAGCTGGTGAGTGATGGGCCTGGGCTTTCACCTGTGGCCTGGCCAACCGAAGCCAGTGCTCTTCCCACCACTTGCTGATTAAACACGACTTCCTTATTGCTTTTCCCAGGTGAGACTAAAAATCCTGAGAAATCATCTCTGGCTACAGCTGAAATCTTCCCATTTGAAATCCAATATCTGGATGGACACCAGACTAACCTTGTTTATGAATTAAAAGCATCTCAATTATTTCAGCCTGCTCCATTCCGAGCTTCAGTCACGTTCTACGCTGCACTCCCTCCCCAATGCCTTTCATCTGGAGCTTCCTAAGGGCTTCCTGAATTGCTGTGAACTTTCTTTCCTAAAAGCCCTGTCTGGGAACAATCATGTCCTAATCTCTAGCAATACAGTAAAAAAAGAGTTTTAAGCTCTTCAGGCCTCAGTTTCCTCACTGGTAACATTGGGAAGTACTCTCCTGCAAAGACAGAGAAGCACACTGGGTTTTGCTCCAACTTTTGTCAGTCTTCCCACTCTGTGCCACAAATTTCAAGAAGGAAGATAATAAGCTCTTTCTTTCTCAAAGTGTTCATGGCTTCAGAGAGCCCAAGCCTGATTATCTCTAAAACACTGGTAGCCCTCAGAGCAGACTGGGGTATTTTTGTATACAACAGCTTGAACAGAAAATTTTAAAGTGAGCTCAAGAGTGGAGAGCGCATGTTTATAAATGCCTTTATGCCTTTATTTGACCTCTCCTCTGTTTTTAGAACATCATTAAGGAAGATCATTTCTTTCACTAATGATTTTGAAAGAAGTCGTGGGTTATCCTTAGGAAACATGAAAATGAATTAGGCCTTGAAAATGACAAGAATTGAAGTCAAAATCAAGATATCACATCTTTGGCTATTACACTTGCACACACGTGCACACACAAATGTTCAGAGCAGGCAGAAGAATCAAAAGTATTTGATTTCTTCTACTTTTATGAGAAAACCACTGAAGTGAACTTCACCAACACCATTTTCTCCCTCAAATTCCAAACTAGTTTGTGCTTAATCCCATTCAAGCACATTCATAAGAGACTTTTATCCCTGGAAGGACCATGTGAGTCATCCACATGTGGAAATGCACAGTTCATGTCCCATATAAATCAGATGCTGCCTGGGGATGAATTTTCTTCAAATAGGCACAGCTGACATATGCATTTGCAGCAAGACTGTGTGGTACCCACATCTGTCTTACCCTGAAGCAGAGGCTTCACTTGATCATGTTTATTTACAGTAAAGTTCCCTGATAAAATCATCACATGCTGGAGGGAATGGCAATGAGTACACACACAGAGACCAGCACAGTCCCCCACAGTGGGCACGCCTTCCATATCCTGAGCCCAGGACACAAAACCAAGTGAGGGAACAGCAATGAGTACACACACACAGACGAGCACAGTCCCACCCAGTGGGCACACCTTCCGTATCCTGAGCCCAGGACACAAAACCAAGCCACTCTGCCCTGGAACATGATCAAAGAAATACCATTCTCAACATCGTGCCTCGGTCTGATCGAGCTCACTGCTTTTTGATGAATACTCTCATGCTACCACCTCTATTTCAGAAAACACAATTACTAAACTGGAGGAGGTCATGTTTGTTTGTTTCACAAAAGGAGAAAAGGACAGAACAGAGAGAGAAAATTAAAACATTACTCTGATGATATTTCAATTAATCTGGGACCTCGATATTCTGGAGAAAGGCCTCTTTGATCCAGTTATTTCCGTAAATGCACAATAACCTCTGATTACTGTGAATGGACATTTATTCATGCAAGTTTAGGTCACCAACGAATGATTGTGCCCAGGCAAAACATACACATACTCACAGTCACTCATTCCTTATGAAACCTAGGGAAATGCAGTAAATTTTAACTTGGGAGAATAAAGGTTAAGCATGGCAGTTAAAGGGGTAAAATTTGAAAGTCAATCATTAGAATAAATATCCCTAGTGAATTACCACAATCCTAATGTTTCTAGCTCTGCTGTCTCCCAGATTTAAAGCACTTATTAGCACCCAGTAAGAAAAGCAATTCCTGCCCATAAAAGCCAGAAGTTCACCTTTTTCAACTTGGCCCAAGATATTCAATCCTTCCCATCTGCAAACATGGAGCACTTGGCATGAGCCAGCGTTACTCTTGGCTTTGATGGCAGATACAAGAGATGGACAGGCCACCACCCTCAAGCTGTTCCCAGTCCACTGTGGGGAAGGATAGAATTATCTACAATGGAAAGAATAGTTTTCTAAGTTTTCTGAACCCACCAGACAGAATGGAGGGAGGGAAGATCTTCATGAGAGGCACGAGGGACGCCGGAGAGCCCCTAAAGGGAACAGTGTGCTCCCGGGTGAGGGCTATGACAGCTCCAGGCAAACTCTGGAGTACTAGGTGGGTGTCAAAGTGTGTCCTGGTCAGGGTCCAAGCAAGGCAGCAGAGCCAGTACAAGACACACATGGAAGGATCGAGGACCAGGAAGCATCCATGGGACTGTGGGGGCTGAGTACACTGAAATCCACAGGACAGGAGGTCAGGACACGAAGACCATGGGGAGGACAGGGCTGCTGGATCGGCAGGTGGAATGTCCTCTCTCTGGGAAAGCCTCAGCCCTGCTTTCAAGGGCCCACTAAGTCAGGCTCACCCAGATTACCCAGGATAACCTCCGTAAAGTCAACTAAGTATGGACTTCAATTACACCTGCAAAATCCCTTCAGGGCAACACCTAGACTAGCGGCCGACTGCGTCGTTAGACCGTAGCCTCGCCAAGTAAACGCATCAAAAGCTGCCACGGGAGGTTATTGTTGTTACTGGAGTCAGCTAATTGAGCCGCCAGGCTGCCTAGGTCTGAACTCTGGGACTGTCACTACTAGTTCTATGTTCTTGAGCAAGTTACTCAACTATTCAGTGCCTCAATTTCCCCATCTATAAAATGATGATGACAAACAGTACCTACTTTATAGCTGTTTTGTAAGGATTAAATTTGCTGACAAATGTGAAATGCTTAGAATACTGAAATGTAAGAAGAATTCAGTAATTGTTACCTGTTTTGGACTATGATTACTTAAGGCATGTGTGAGTAACAGTGTGTGTAGCTAATACATCAAAAATTACTTTAGCAAGCTGGTGGCAGAGCCAGGACTGGAAATGAGGGTCCCAGAATCAAATCCTTTGGTAGCTGTTTATTCAGCATCTGTTATGCTTGCAAGTGTAGAAATTTAATGAAGTGTAAATAGAAGTCTTATCCTTGTGAAGTCACATTATAGCTGATAATATGAGACAGACTGTACCCAACAATGCATTCCACATGCCAAATGAAGAGTAGGGAAAATGGTGCTGTAAGAGTCCATGTGGGGAGAAGGACTTGCCTTTGTCTGGGCAGATGCCTTGCGAAGGGGTGTAGTCTCTTCTGGGGCGGGAGAGGTGAGAAAAGAACAGAGGGGAGGGGTGGTAGGCAAGGGCCGCAGGGGCAAAAAGGCACAGAAGCCGGAAAGGCAATGAGGGCGCTGGGCCAGCAAGAAAACCCCCAAAATGTGAAGTGTTCACTTCTAAGGACTAGTTGGTATTGCTTCACTTAGGAAAGAATTCACTTGCCAGCTTGAGCCTCTGTCTTTGTATAGAAATCCCAAAGCACAGTCCCACAAGCTTAACAGCAAGCCAGAGATTAAAAATGCCTCTGTTCATGATTTTTTTTTCATGGAGTTGGGTTTCCCCTGGTTTTTCTCCAGTGGTAGGCTTTAATTGAAGCAATAGATACAGCAGCTGATACCTCATATTAAAATAGTTTCACCAGCCTGGCACAGCCGAAGGATTTTATTTTACAAAATCTATAACCAGAAAACATTGGCTTTGCCTTTTGTACTAGAGATGTGATGGAATTAAAGGATTCAAGATTGCAAAGCCTTCGTGAATAATTTAGAATCATCTAGTCCCAGCAAATATTCCCTTCACTTTCTATGTGCCAATATTGGACTCTGACATCTGAGGAGGGTTTAATGCTGCTGAGTACTCTCTAATTCAGAATCATCTTCAAACATACACATACACACACGTGCGCACACACACCCACACATACACACGCATGCACGTGCGCACACACTCCTTTCAACTGTTCTATGTGACTTTATGTCTGAAATCTCAGAATTCTCAGTATGATGTGTAAAATATCACAATTCTCAGCTTTGTGATTTATATAATTTATTTTAACAAACACTTACTTGACACTTACTAACCATATCCCAAACAGTGGCTCATGTTGGTCCTCATAAGAAATCTATTAGGTAAGAACAATAATCATGCTCTTTTTGTAGATGAGGTAATCAAAACACGAAGAGGTTAAGTCACATATCTAAGCCACACATCTAGTAAGTGACAGAACTGGGATTCAGATGCAGGCTCTCGGATCCCTGAGTTTATACATTTAACCGTTAATCTGCCCCTCAGACTGGACACCAAAAGACCGATATCGATATCCAAGGACTGCTATATCCTTTCTGCTACATACTCAGGAAGGGTCAAGACACTGAGTGGGTCTCTACCCAATTTGGAGAATCCATCCTCAGCCTGAATCCCAACAAGCAGTTATTGTGTCCATTAACCTTTGAACAAGAGAAAACATTCTCCATTACCACAGCATGTCAATGACTGGATACAGAGACTTGGCAGAAACTGCCAAGGCATCCAATTTGATCTATAAGCCAAAGCAGGGCAAAATGGCATTTCCAGAGGAAAAGAAACTGGTAGGGCAATTTATAGCCCATACTGGAGCAGAAGCCTCAAGAACACCTTGGGGAAGCATTTTATACTCTGCATAAATATTAAATATTTATCAGTGTAGACTGAATTTTCCCTAAAAGGTCATAAAGGTCCTCATACACCAAAGTGACCCTCCAAGTGCAGGTGTGCACGGATCACAGCAAAAAGGATCATCTAAATCTGGACCACACAAGAAAAAAGAGGCATCCAGACCAGCATGGTATGTACTCTTGCCCTGCCTAAGAGCTTCAATCATATAAAGGACTTGGGAGTCTATACCAGACTTATGCTACAGATCATTTGCCATACAGGAGGCTTAATTATCATTAAGTTAGTACAGAAAGAAAAGCTGCCTCAAGTGAATCCGCTTAAAATAGAAACCAACATATCACAGTTGAATGATCAAACTGTTCAACTGAGGTTTTATCTTGAACTAGAAATCAAAACAAATTTGTTTTGTTTCTATTTAACATCTTTTTAGGTTCTTATTAAACAAACAATGCATCAAGTATGGATGGTGGCAGTGTTTGAGCATGACAGCTTACATTTATACCCAACTTCCTCAGCCCAATCAAAAAGAGGGTCAGTTTTGCAAAAATATCACAGCACATTTCATCAATGCTTCCAAGCATCCCTCTTGATCTGTTGAAACTTATCACATCACTGTCCTTATCAGTTTTCTACTCTTCACATGTTAGCTAGTATAGCCTTCCCAGGAACTCACTTTTCAAGGGCTTTGCACAAGATTTGAACAGTTCTCCAACATCACTTTCAGTAATTTCATAAATCCTGCTTCTATTGTAAGGCTCAAAATTTCACTTTGCAAATGTTTTGCAGGCATTTGCATGGCAATGTCTGATGTAATAAAGACTATGATAAAGAAGGAAGGAGGTTTCCATGAGACCAGTCATTCTTCTATTGATTGGTGTCTATTTTTTGTTATGATGACTTTTATTTTCTCCAGGCAGACTTACACCTGAAGATACCACAGAAATAACAACAGAACAACAACCTCTTCTTGTGACTCCGTTTAAGTGACTGAAACCTTGGAATTCTCCAGCTTGAGTTAAATTCCTACATGTATCTTTTTTATTTTCATCATGAAGTCCTGCATTATAGATGCTCTAGGGAAGTTACAGCCTAATTACCTGCATCAGATGAACCTAACCTCCAGTAGGACTCTGGTACTTTCCATTTTCATTAAGATAAACAATGACATATGCTTAAAAGCTTCCAAATACAAATCTATTAAAACTAATATATAAAATATTCATTTTTAAATATTTTTATAACTAGCCTGGCAAAAATTTAAAGAACATTCTCACATACCAAAAACAATGACAAATCCTGAATAGAAAGAGGTAAGCAAGGGCGATCTGCTAATGTCTGAGGGCTGAGTGGGGAAAACAGAAGAGCAAGTATATGTAAGCCATTAAATCAGATCAGAGACCACCACACAATGAACACCAGGACCCTCGGTAAACAACACCCACAAGAAGAAGGCAGCATGAAAAGACTGCTTCAGCACGGGCTCTGAATGGAGGGAGGAAAATTCCCTGAGAACGTCTAACCACATTCTGGTACTCACTGTGTTTGGGGCCAGAATTCACCCTACTTATGTAGCTCTGTGATCCATGGTATTTCTCTCGATAGACACAGGACAAAAACCTTAAACCCAGACCTCAAAGAATTCCTATACACTAATTTCCAAGTAATATGTTTCACAATTCAAAGTCGAGCAATGCATACAAGGATAAAAGCTACTATAAACAAGCAAACCCACAAAGAAGTAGAATTGAGAATTATCAAAATATATATATATAAAATACACATATCTAGTATGTTTGAAGAAATTAAAGAAGATACGAAACTCATGATGCAAAATTAATAATCATGAAAAAACCATATCTTCTAAAATTGGAAAAGGTGGAAAATAAAATAAACACACAAAATAAATTTAATATAATAAAGTTAGGAATGCAAAGGTTGGGTTAAAACAGAAAATTAGACATCTCTGAAGAGAGAATTAGTGAAGTGAAAAATAAATTTGAAGGAATATTCCAGAATGTATCGCAGAGATGTAAAGAGGAAAAATATTAACAAGGAATTGAGAAACACAGTAATAGAGTGAGATGGCCTACCATATATCTAATTGAAGTTTCTAAAGGAGATAATACAATGAGACAGAATATTTGAAGAGATAATGGTTGAGAATTTTTCCAAATTAATGACAGACATAAATCTTCAGATTCAAGAAACTCAACAAATCTCAAGTAGGGAAAATAAATACTAAAACACTGGAGAACAATAGTATATTAATTGGGACAATCATGATTGAAATTAAGACATTCTAAGTTTTTTTTATTCTTTAGGAAGAAAGTAAAGATATTAACTGAATTTAGACTTTAGCTTAAATATATTTTAGTGATTTTTGGAAAATCACTACAAGATAATACATTACTTCAAATCAGTATAGAAAAAATTACAATAAAGAAGGAAAAGGAAGAAAAGGCCAGTCAATCCAAACATAAACAAAAAAGAAAAGCACTAATAAAAAGCAGAGCAAATATAAAGCACAAAAATGAAATGGCCAAGATAAATAAGATATATCTATAATCACAATAAATGTGAACAAAAAAACTCATGAGTTAAAAGACATTGATTGTCAGAGAAATTACATATATATTGAGAAATTGTATCTATATTGTCCACAATATGTATAGCTAGAAAGAAAAATACACACACATACACACACACACACACACACACACACCCATACATACAAACACATGCAGTATACTGGAAACATATCTAAGACAGAAAGACTTAGAAAAGTTGAAAATAAAAAAAACATAGAAAATACTAATAAAATAATTGGTATTAATAGGAGAAATAGTCTTTAAAGTAATAAGTATTACTAGACATAAATGGGGCCATTAGGCTATAATAAAATGATGAATTTTATTATCATTTTTATTATGAAAATTTCTAAAATCTTAACCTTGTAGGCTCACCTATTAATATAACTGCAAAATATACTTTTAAATGGCAGAACTTCAAGATAATCTGACAAATCTACCAATATAGAGGGAAACAGTAACATTCCTCTCTAAATAATTGGTAGACCAAGCAATAAAAAATATGAAAAATATAGAATATTTTAATAATATAAATAACTATGCTGATTTGCTTCCTAAAGCTACAGAAGTATTTTCAAGAACACACGAACATTTATAAAAATATTTCTGGCCATAAACAAAACTTCAACACATTTCTAAAAATCACTATAGTACAAACCACATTCTCTGACCCAGTGCAAGTTAAAAATCAAAAAGAAAAAGAATTTTTACACCCCCACCAACGTATAAAGTTAAAAACACCCTGTTAAATAGCTCTTGGTTCAAAGAATAAACCGTAACTGGTATTTTAAAATGCTCTGGACTAAACAATAATAAATATACCACAAACCAAAACTCCCATGTTGTATCTATACCATCCTCAAAGAGAAATGTATAGGCTTGAGTGCTTATTTTAGAAAAAAAGTTTTTAAATGGCTTAAAGTTAATGAACCAAGTATAAAACTTAAATAGTTATATAACAACAAAATAAAACTTTAAAAAATTTAGAAGTATGAACACAAAATGATGAAACAGAAATAATGAAACAGTTTATACTGAAAGTATAACAGAAAATGATGAAATAGAAAACAAAGACACACAAAAAAAAGAAATTAACAAAACCAAAGACTGGATTTTTACAAGACTTAAAACATGGATAATCCTTTTGCAAGATTGATCAATAAAAGAGGATACATAAATAAAAAATATTCAGTGCATACGCTAAACTACACATACGCATCAAGATTCAGGATTCAGGGCAAGCTACTCAAGGTGTTTTAAACTGTAAAGCACTGAATACATGGAATGAGGGGCCTAAAACTTGCTGGAGGTTCTGCAAGAACCTTTCCAGGTTGGACTTACAAATATGACTCTGGTAACAACTTAGAACTACCCTCAAGGGGAAGTTCCTTCTTCTGAAGCCACCACTAGAGCTGCAAGCTCAAGAAGACATTCCAGGAGCTGCCATCAAAGGACTAGGAAGCTGATACCAGAGCCAAAATCACAACACCCTCTTGTAACCCAGAAGCCTGAGCACAAATGCAGAACACTCTATACAAAAAAATCCAAACAGCCAAAAGAGGGCAAGAAGATTGTCTCTGCTTCACTAATGCCTTCCAAATTTCACATCAGTGTATCTAATTGGTGCAAACTACCCAACTTGTCTCTCTCAATGGAGGAGGGGCAGGTCCAGAGAGCCAATCTACACACAAATCCCTCTCCTGAAGCATCCGTCACCACTTATTTCCATTGAGTTGTGATTGCCTCCTACAAGCAAACACACTAAAAATATCTAAAACTAGAAGAGAGCTCTTCTCAGACTTCATAAGAATCAGGATAGAAAAATGTGTTTAAACTCCATTTTCTGTCAAATAAGACTAGTTGCCCATTAGTGCAAGTCATATTCTGCCTTAATCCACTATCTTCTTTTTTCTTTTACTTGTTTTTTCCTACCTCTCAAACAAAAGCTCACTTTTGATTACATAGATAATGTTAAGGACTAAATAACTCAAATAACTTCCCTAGTTCCTTTCACATTGCCTATGATGATCTAGAAGAAGCCACGAGAGCCATGTCCATAATAATCTCAGGTCCAAACTAGAAAATACAACAAACTGAAAAGTATCAAGCTGAAGACAAATGTTGCATTAAAAGTTGATATAACCAGCTGGGCACAGTGGCTCTCACCTGTAGTCCCAGTTACTCAGAAGGCTAGGGCGAGAGGACTGCTTGAAACCAGGTGTTGAAAGCTGAAGTGAGCTACGACTGCACTCCAGCCTTGGAAACAGAGCAAGAGTTAATCTTTTATTTATAAATAAATAAATAGGAAGGAAGGAAGGAAGGAAGGAAGGAAGGAAGGAAAGGGAGGGAGGGAGGAAGGAAGGTTGGTTGGTTGGTTGGCATAACCCATGATGCTGAAGAGTGCTCCTTTAAGCTAACCATCATTATTATCAGCCAGAACAATACTGAAAGTGCAGCTAATACATACAAAGAACTGTCAACATTTTATCACAAGTGACATTTTGTAAAAAGCTGACAGAACTTTTATGGAACTGTCTTAAGACTGCTGCATGTGCCAGTTGATCCACTGATGTCTGACGTGATCAATGAAGTTGCCTGGTGACCCACAACATCCAAAAAAGGGAAAGCAAAACCTCTTCCCAAAATCTTCATTTGGTTCAAGATGCCACATACAGGATGATACTTTAACATGAATGGAAACACAGGTTGCAGGGCATAACTAGCATTCGCTGCTATCTATGTCTCACACACTAAATACACAGCACTTTGATAAAACAGAGACAAGGCATGCCATAAATATCTGCAGATGCCCTGTGTATTCGTTTTCCATCTCCATGTAACAAAGTATCTCAAATTGAGTGGCTGAAAACAACACACACTTCTTATCTCGTGGTTTCTATGGGCAGGTTTCCAGGCATGACTTAGTGAGTTCTCTGCTCAGGATCTCACAAGGCTGGAATCAAGAGTGTTAGCCAGGGCTGGGGGCTCCTCTGAGGCTGGGTTCTTGGGCATGTTCACAGGGTTGTTGGCTGAATCCATTACATCGCAGCTGTATAACTCAGGTCAGCTCATTTCTTCGAGGCTAGCTGATTTCTTCAGCTTTCTGACCCCTAGAGTTTCTTTCAGAATGCTCACCTGGTTCGGTCAGACCTATAATGCATTCTTATAATTTTGTGTTGCCTCAGCATCCATTCTGAATGCAAGTTTAACTTTCTCCTGCAGAAGCAGGGCTCAGTGACCCCTGGCAGTTTCCAGTCTGACACCACACCTACATGGCTCAAGCTGGTGGCCAGAGATGAGAACTTAGAGGCATCTCTCCTGCCTATTAGACTGGGTCCCCCTTTCCTGCCACTTCCTTTAAGGGGACCATTGATTCCGGCATTTGCCCCCGAACTTGGAGGGCCCACAGCCTATTCCCTTATATATACTGCTAGTTGCCACACACACCCTCTCTCTGCCCAACTCTTCATTCCTGCCTTGCCTGACTTTAGGATAGAGGACTGCCCACCCACATCATCACACCCTCCTTGCCCAAGATCTGTAAGTAAAAATCTTTTAGCTTGTTTCCTATTGTGGTGGTGGATTGAGGTAATCATAAACTGGACACAGCTCACACAGAGCCACAAGGGTGTCTGCCAATACAAACAAGTTTCCCATGTAAGGAACCCCCTGGTCATGGGTCAGACAACTAGGCATTAGGCCATCCACCAGGTTTCAGAAGTGTCCCATGAAAGGCACACCGAAAACACCCACATCCAGCTCCCTTTGTTCCCTGCTAGGACAGGGCTGCTAGTTGCTCTGGTACTGGAACCCAAAGGGCTCTCAAATTAAGGTCCACACAGGATAATCTTCCTTTCAATTATTATAAAGTCAACTGATTAAGGACCTTAACTACTCTACAAAATCCCTTTACCTTTACCATATTTTATTAGTTAGAAGCAAGTTAAAGGTCCCACCCAAACCCAAGAGGAGGGGATTATACAAGTGCATAGGTCATTGGGGGGTCATCGTAGAATTCTGCCCACTACCATCTTTATGTGGCAAAATAGCAAGGAACCCCTGCATACTTTTCCATATTAGGTGTATGGCTAATACTGTATTGTAATATTTAAATGAGCAGTCAGTCTCTCAGAGAATGCTGCTGCTACTGCTATACCTCTGTTTTTTTTTGAGTTATTCACTCAACAAACATCTTTCTACTAACAACAACATATCAACTACTGTTCAAAGTGTTGTGTATATGAAAATGAATGAGCGACAGTTCTTGACTATGACGAAATGACAATCACAATCACCTTATCCCATTAGCCAGGCAACAATAGTCAGGTTGGTCTTTTGTTACTGATTTGTCACTATTTTGCTACATTACTTGTTTTTCTGCAAAACCCTTTCTCTAGCATGACTGCAGAGGTGGTTATTTAGCCTGATTTTATTATGACCATGAATGTAGGAGCCTGAGGCCAATGCTGCAAACCAGATGTTTCAGGAAACCATTCTTACCTGTCTGTGCTTAATGAAAAGAATAATGACCTGTTTCAAACGAACTACCCAAGCAAAGATTCACAGGCTTTCTCTTCTGAAAATCATCAAGGATAAGAGGAAACCTGGTTCAACAGCAAACCGTTCTTCAGCATGTCAGAACAAACTATGGGTTTTCTTGCCCTGCATTAAACCAAAGCTACCATGCAAAGCTGATAAACCAGCAATCTGGATTAGTCATTCATAGCCAAGCATCCACTAAGCACCTGAATATGTTATCCATCTGGAATTCAGAAGCCTAAGTGGAGAATTTGTCCAATAATTCCCAATCTATTTAATGGAATCCGAATCTCCATTCACCACACATATAATCTTATGGAGCTGTGTGTGTAACCCCTAAGATCAAAACCAGATGAATATCCCAGAGCCTGGTTTCCTCATGAGATGGAACATGGAGTAATTATGGGACAGCGGGCTGTGTTCACAGTGTTTTCCAAAAATTATCAATCGCTTTGTTGCCACTCAACTTTGTAGGTTTTACAAGTAAATAAAATAAACTTCTTGATAGTAACTATTACTTCCAAAGAAAGTGGTCTAAGTGTTCCATTACCCTGGTGTATTAGTGAGGGTTCTCTAGAGGGAAAGAACTAATAGGATTCACATATGTATGAAAGGGAGTTTATTAGGGAGTGTTAACTCACAGGATCACAAGGTGAAGTCCCACAGTAGACCGTCTGCAAGCTGCAGAGTAAGGAAGCCAGTCCGAGTCCCAAAACCTCAAAAGTAGGGAAGCCAACAGGGCAGCCTTCAGTCTATGGCCCATGGCCCGAGGCCCAAGAGCCCCTGGCAAACCACTGGCGTAAGTCCAAGAGTCCAAAAGCTGAAAAAGTTGGAGTCTGATGTTCGAGGGCAGGAAGCATCCAGCACAGGATAAAGATGAAGGCCAGAAGACTCAGCAAGTCAGCTCCTTCCACCTTCCTTCTGCCTGCTTATATTCTAGCCACACTGGCAGCTGAATAGATGATGCCCACTCAGCTTGGGGGTGGGTCTGCCTCTCCCAGTCCACTGATTCAAATGCTAATCTCCTTTGGCAACACCCTCACAGACACGCCCAGGAACAATACTTTGCATCCTTCAATCCAATCAGGTTGACACTCAATATTAATCATCACAAGTCCACCCCTTGTCAACTTGAACCCATACACATCTCCTGAAACCATACATAATCTTCAAAGAAAGACAATAATAAGATCATAATTACACCTAATAATACAGATACACTTCATACAACCAGAAGCATACTAATCCTTAACCTAAATGCTATTACATAAAGTTAACAACACTTAAATGCTGATATGAAGTCAATAAATCTTATGTCACATGATAAAGGAAATAAAAGATTTTCTTAGTACAAGTCTATACATGCACAAACATGTTCTAAACAAAATAAGGAGGAAATACTCATGACAATTACAATCCTCGTTTCTGCAACTGGTCACATGATTGTAGCTGGTATTGATGACTACCTTCTTCTACTACCCATTCTGTATTCCCTATGCCTTCAGCAAGCACCTCAGCAGGTCGTGGTTTTTTTTACCTGTTAGAGTGACCCAAACCTTCATTCCTGAAGGCTCTGGGCCATCTGTAGTCCTCCTCCCTGGATTGGGTTGTTGTGGTTTCCCATGACCTTAATTACAGGGCATGGTAATACTAAGAGATGCCCTAAGGGATCTCCTGTATTCCACACATACTCTTCCTTACCTCCACTGTGGAGTATTAGTCTGATTTCATTTTGATAGTCTAGGTCAATCACCCCAACCAACACTATAACTCCCTTCCATACTGTTGATTTAGAAGTAGGAGGAGCCCCAAGTGGCCAGGTCGCAATCTTAACTTCCAATTTAATGGAATCATTGTTGTGTTTCCTGGTGACAGCATTCCTCCCTCTTGAACTAAGACCTCTAGGCCAGCAGAACATAATGTCATGGGAACAGGAAGCAATAATTGTGCTAGTGGATCATTCCTGGGGAGGTGGCTGACAGGTGGATGAATGGCCTGCAGCTGGTGTCACCTGTTATGCCCAGCCTTATGATTATATATGTATATATTAATTATGTATTATGTATGAATATGTAACATAACATGTATACATATAATATGTATACATAATATGTCATACACAAAATATGAATTTATATATATAAATATTATATATGATTATACATTATGTATATTATAACACATGATTTAGTTCAAATGTTTCCTTCACTTGACCAGACCTGACCTCTAAAGTTATGACTCTGATGCAGTGTCCAAGAATACCTTTTGGTCAATTACACTAACAATCAATTGTAGCAACTATAAGAAAACAGCAATTTTGAAAAAAGAAAGAAAAGAAATCTTACTGACCTACTTAAAATTATGCTACCAGGCCACAATGCTAAACTCATTCAAAGCCATCTCCTATTATTAAATATCATTTTGCCTTTTCTCATTTCCTTCTTTTGAATATCACTTCTATTTTGGATGACATTAACATAATGCCATTCTTCAAAGAGTACAAAGTGCTTTGTTAGCTCCTCATCATGTTCCCATCCATTCAACAATACATGGGCACCTCAATATGAGTCACTGTTGCCAATAACAATGGTCATACTCTTAACACCATGTTCAATTTGAGCACCTCAGCTTAAGGAAGAAATGGAGAACTTGGAGACAGTTCCTCTAAAGAATCCCAATTCTTTCTCTTTTTCCCTTTGCTCCCTCTCCACCACTGCCCTTACTTCTCCTTCCTCCCGTAGCAGTCACACTCATACTCACTCACACATGCACACCACTTGCTTTTCCATTTTCCAGTAAAGCTCAGTGACTGGTACAGTGTGCCTGCTGTGCACACCTGTAAGACCCAGTAACTACAGGTTCAGCAAGAGACCATGCGTAAGAATCATTGCATTCAAGTGATAATATGGGATTTTGCAAGTCTACAGATACAATATTAATTATTTACCAAAAAATGAGTTGCACCTGCATTCAAAATATAACTATACCAAATTTATAATATGTAGATGATTTCAACTCTTTTATCACGTATTTGTTTTTTTAAAAAATAATTATGTTAAAAGAGGCTCCCTCAGGAAACAAATCCTTATGTTTAACTTAACTCCCATTTTCCATCCCAGGCTTCTCTGTAATAAAACCAAAACTCATCTGACACGTTTGTAGAGCACTTTACCCAAAGAGTCCCAAAGGCTTTACAGATTTCATTCTATCAGAGGGAAGGGGAGTAAATTATTCACTTTACTGAGAGCTATGAATAACGTTTCCTGGCTACCTCAGTCAACTACCTCTAATAGTGATAAACTAAATCAGGCTCTCTCAGCCATATATAGGCCCACATCTATCTGTGAGCTTGCCAGGACCCAGAGAGACTAGATCTACTTTCCCCATGCCATCTTTCCATCCATCTTTCCCATCTCCAATCACATCCCATCTTCCCCCTCTTCACTCTGATCTTTACTCACCAGATCAAAATGTGGAAACAGAAAATGAGAACAATTCAAAAACTGAAGGATCAATGCACTAAATAGTTCCCTGACACCCTGAAAGGTTAATGTCATTTCAAAGAACAAGCCTCCATTCCATCTTACCAGTCTCCTTGTGCCATCCGTCCCCAAAATTAAATTCAGTATTCTAACTACATACTATCATTGGTCACCAATAGAAGCAAAATGGAAAGAAGGACCAGGAATGAGTCAAAATAAACTAATGTCTAAAGACAGACAATATTCATATATATATATATTATAGCAGTCATTAGAAAACACTAGTAAAACACTAAAGAAGACCACGAAAAAGAACTGCAGGAAATCTTTAGCAAGGACCCAGTGAGAAAGCCTACAAATGCTCTTTTATAGTAGGATGCTCATTCTCAAAGAGGCAACAGGAATCATTTCATTTTTGCTCAAGGAAAATAAAGGTGAAGAAAATTCACCACTTGACTGTACTAGTTCTGGAAGACTCAACAATAACCTCCCTAGAGTCATTCAATCAACTAACATTAGTCATGATCCTACACTGTCACAGCACTGTGCAAGGCATGGAAAAGGTATAAACATGCAAGGTATCAACATCCCTGCCTAGGAGATCTTCTAGTCATCACTTGGTTTTCTACTATTGGCCTACATTAAGCTGGGAACCATCTGGAAAGGGCTAATGGTGTGATCTAGTTTGGATCTGTGTCCCTGCCCAAATCTCCTGGTGAAATGTAATCCCCAAAGTTGGAGGTGGCGTGTGATGGGAGGTGAATGGATCGTGGGGGACGATTTCTCATGAATGGTTTAGCACCATCCTCTAGGTGTTGTCCTTGCAATAGGGAGTGAATTTTCATGAGATTTGGTGGTTTAAAAGTGTATGGCACCTCCCCAACCCTCGCTCTTCCTCCTGCTCTGGCCATGTGATACACCTGCTCCCCCTTCGCCTTCCGCCATGATAAAAGTTTCCTGAGGCCTCCCCAGAAGCAGAGCAGGTGCCAGCATCGTGCTTCCTGTACAGCCTGCAGGACTGTGAGTCAATTAAACCTCTTTCCTTTATAAATTAACCAGTCTCAAGTATTCTTTATAGCAATACGAGAATGGACTAACACACAATGGAACTTCTAATTTATTATTAGAAGCATACACACCCCAAATACTCTTTTTAATGTTAACATTACTTACACTATAGTAATAAATATATGCCGAACTGCAAATAAACATCTTTACAGATTAAGAATCAATGCACTAAATGTTTCAGCTTCACTCTACTATCTAATCAATTCCACAGCAGTTTATTGCTGTGTATATGCCAAATCGATAAAAAATGCACCTTAAAAATACCTATAAAATAGAATGCTATAGAACAGATACTATAGGACTACAAGAAGCAATTACACTGTGCAATTATATAGCACAATACCAACAGCAAGCAGTTATTGTAACTACCCATGAAAAATTATGGGATGTTTCAAGCTAACTTGCTTTTCCATTACATCCTTCTCAAACAAAATCCAGTATCAAGGAGTGTATTATAGTCCTTTATTCGCATATTCTGGCACTGCCACCAAAATTGAAATGTTCAGGGCTAAACAGGACGAATAGAATGATTCAAAAATTGTATTCAAAGCATGGGCTCCCTTTGGTCCCCAGTGGAATACTACTAAGGCTGCAGAAAGACCACAACCCCATGCTCAAAAAAGGCGTGAAGAAAATAACTCAGAGGACGAGGGTCACTGCCTTCAAACATTCAAACAGGTACCACATAAAGAGGGATGAGACATTCTACAAGGACCCACAGACCAACGAGTCAGAGCTGCTAGGAGAAACTGTGTTTTAATGTGAAGGCAGATTTCCTAAAACTTGGCTCCTCCCCAAAGGAAGAGGCTTGTCTCAGGCCCCAGGGAACTCTTATCTTTGAACTGTCAAGACCATATATTAGATGGTTACAAGAGAATCTTGCCTTTTGGAGGAGAGACCTTGATGACTTGTACAGCGCCCCTCCTGCTCACCTGCTGCTTAACAGAGAATGGTATCATGTGTGGAGCCATTAAAGGCAACAGGGTATCTGAGAAAGTATTCCCGCTGCTCTATAAGGGAGAACTTTCCAGAACTGAACATCAACTAGCTGCTTCAGAAACCATCACTAATCAGACCTCGGGAAATCCAACGAATTGTGCCCCTATTAAATGTAGTGAGTACAAAGTGATGTCCACCAAACATAACAGCACACAACTTAGACTGCCGAGAACATAGGAGAATATTCTAGGAAGGAAATAGCCAAGCCCAGCTCCCAAAGTATAATTAAGGGAGTTTTTCTTTTATTGGTGTTTGTTTGTTTGTTTGTTTGTTTGTTTTTGAGACAGTCTCACACTGTCTTCCAGGCTGGTGTGCAATGGCGCTATCTCGGCTCACTGCAACCTCCGCCTCCCGGATTCAAGTGATTCTCCTGCGTCAGCCTCCCGAGTAGCTGGGATTACAGGCACCTGCTACCACACCCGACTAATTTTTTTGTATTTTTAGCAGAGAAGGGGTTTCACCGTGTTAGCCAGGATGGTCTCAATCTCCTGACCTCGTGATCCGCTCGCCTCGGGCTCCCAAAGTGCTGGGATTACAGGCGTGAGCCACCGCGCCCGGCCAGTGTTTCTTTTTTATAAAGAAATCGTGTATGCACATTTTCTTTTTCGCGTGGATTTTGTGTTCTGTGCTTTATTATTGCTCCATAAACGATTACCGTGTATGTGTAGCTAAGTTAGATGTTTTGCCACAATGGGGTCACCGTTCCCTGTGAACGCAGACGCGGCCCTGCGCAGGCTCGGGTTCCACGCCAGGCCTGGCGCCTTTGCGCTGCAGCACTGCCCGGAACAGCGAATCCAGCGAGAGTCAGAGGGCCTGAAGGTAGACGTCCCAGGCCCCACACTGCCCACCCAGCACTGCCTTGGGACTGGCGCGGTGCTCCCATCTCACCCTGGCATCTGCAGAGTTCAAGGGGGCGCAGTGCGCTGCGTAATGCTCCGTCCTCATCCCCGCGGGGCCTCACTGACAAACAGGCATCACTCCTGGGAACCCACCAGCTCTGGGGAGGGCTGCTTAGACTGGGCGGAGGCACCTTACTCTACCCATGCACTGCAGGTCGCCCACGACTTGGCCCCAGTAGCCATTACCTCGAGTATCGCCAGTCCCAGAGGCAAACGGAAGAGGCCTAGGCATCCAGAAGTGCGTCCCCAAAGCTCCCGCGCAGGAGGAATAACCGTCACTTCCGCTTGCCTCTCATTGGTCAGAGTGAGTCACATGGTGGCATGACGTCAATGGGGGCAGGGCCAGCATCCTCCCGGGTGCCCGCCCTAAGCCTCAGCGGAGCCGCTGGGAGGTGGAGGCGACTTACCGTGGCAAGCCTGGGTGGGTGGGCAGGTGGGTGCCCCTTACTGCTGAGATAAGGCTGTTCAGGGAAGCAGCCTCCTGACAGTGCGTGATGAGCAGGCGTGTAAATCCCAGTGCTAGCCAGGATCCAGGAAAAGGCCAGGCTTTCCCACCTGGCAGGTGAGTGGGGTCCCCTGGACCACCTGGAGGCCACGCAGGAGCAGCGGTGCTACAGCCCCGTGCAGTGAACCCACTCAGATCTCAGGCGTGGTTTCTGGGAGCCACTCAGCCCCTGGCTTCCTAAGACCTTTCCCACCCCACCCCGCCCCTAGTCTTCCCTTCTAAGACTCTTTAGAAAGGAGCCTGTGGTCAAACTTTGCCCACGCATCTAACCTCCAGCCTGAGTCCCTGGGAACTTTATTACGTCACTGCCTCCTGCATAGCTACTGTCCACGTTTAAATATTATTTGAACCATCGTAGCTTCGAGAGGTTAAAACTTTAAGTGAAGAGGAAAATGAACCTTACAGTTCAGCCTCGACTGCCCAATGCCTGTGACTTCTCAGGCATCGCAGCACAAAGATCTACAAGGAACTCATCCAAATGAGACATCTTCCTCATTAGCGTTTATCATTAACTGAGAAAAGAAAGAAGCATTTAAAGTATCTTTTTTTTTTTTCCTGAAGGTATGGAACTCCAATTTTCTCCAAGTAAATATGGACCCATTCGGTTGTTTTTTAAATGAACGCTTTGTCTTTACAATTTGTGCTACAGCAAGCTCTCCTCTTCATTTCTAACTCTTTTTACTGGAGGACCCCTAGAGAAAGTAGTTTGGGGACTTCCATGCTTATTAGATGCACATCAAGCAGATCCTGTTTACTCCGTCTCAGCTTTTCTTTCATGGCATCAGGGGCAGGATATTATTTGCAAGCAGCCAAGGTAATTACCATCCAGCAGGGTCCAATTGTTTTCAATTAAAAGCTTTACTGCAGTCTTTAGTTTTAATACCATTGTGGCCATCTGCTTTCACTGAAGATCTACCAGCCAAAAGCCCAGACCACATCTTAATGCCATTAACTCCTGAGAGCCATTTTCCTCCAGAATGAACTCAATAGTCCAGGGGAAATATGGGGATAGCCTCATGTTATCTTTGGTGGCCTGGGGAAAGCTATAGGACTCAGGAAGGTTATTTTCAGAAAGACAAGCACTACCTCTTCTTGCCTGAAGTACTAGGTAATTGTCTTAATTCTCTGCTTCACTTCAGCAGAGGATGCCGAACTGTAACTGCTCCATTGCACATTTTCCATCCAGCCTCAATATTCTGTAGCTCTATTATAAAATGTCTCTGAACTGTAATTTCATCAGATGGATCACTTTGGTATAGACATTTTCCATTTTGATATTCAATTTCTATCCAACTCTGCTTAGCTCACCATGACCCAAAATCTAGGTGTGGGTAAACGGTAAGGAGTGACCCAGGTTACCGAATGGATGCTCACACTGCAATGTGAGGTCATTTAACTGTTTTCATGGCTTAAAACCTGCAGGCCATTCCAGTCACAAATTTATTAGGGATTAACTAGAGAGTTTTATTGAACTATCAGGGACAATAGCCCAAAGCCTAGACTTGGAGTTTACAGCACATGTTTTGCCTACTCCTGAGGGTTCACACTGTGCATTGGTTCCACCAAAGCCATTTACATTTCTCCCTTCTCCTTCCCTTCCTCTGCAAGGGAGGCTTCTTTGCAACCCAGGTGGCCATGGCCCATAACCCTGGCCAATAAGATGGAGGGTGCAAGTCCAAGAGGAAAGATTACCTTCTCCCAAAACCATACAGAGGCTCTATGCTCTTTGATTTCCTTTGCCCTTGTGCAAAAATCACTAGCTATGTCAGATCTACCAGTAGGATTTATTGTTTTGATTTGTTTGTTTGTTTAAAAAAATCCTAACTGCTGAAGTAATCAAAACTAAGAAAATGGTCACAAAAGTGTCCAAGAAAACCAGAGGTATTGCCTTCCTGGTTCCAGAAAGCATTTCCATTTTGAGGCAGCAAAATTAATATCTTAATTCTCAAAATTATAAGACAAAAAATTCTGGAAGGAATTACTCAAACTAAAAGAATCTAGAATGCAAAATCAATAATCCCTGTGGCATAGCTATCACTTTCCTACAAATATTTCTGGCTTTCCTTCTGGGAATAAGATGGGCTTGTGCTTCCTTGCCCCTCCAACATGAGATATCACGGTCGTTTGTTACAGCAAAATAACCAGTCTGACTGCTACCCAATGCTAACAAACAAACTCTGGAAAATGCAGGGACATTGAGTTGGAGAAAATGATCTTTGAAAAGCCCTGAAAAGCGGGGCACGGTGGCTCATGCTTGTAACCTCAGCACTTTGGGAGGCCGAGGCGGGCGGATCACGAGGTCAGGAGATCGAGACCACAGTGAAACCCCATCTCTACTAAAAATACTAAAAATTAGCCAGGCATGGTGGTGGGTGCCTGTAGTCCCAGCTACTCGGAGAGGCTGAGGCAGGAGAATGGCGTGAACCCGGGAGGCGGGGCTTGCAGTGAGCCAAGATCACACCACTGCACTCCAGCCTGGGCGACAGAGCGAGACTCTGTCTCAAAAAAAAAAAAAAAAAAAAAAAAAGAAAAGAAAGGCACTGGAATGTTATCAAGATCACCCAGTGACTCCGATGTGCAAGAAAGCTTAGAAACCATCCAATCAAAGTCTTTTTTTCTTAATTCAAAAAAAAAACACTCTTTTTATGGGCATAAAAGTATTTATTTCAAAGAGGTCAGAAAGCAATGGCTGGCCATGCCAGAAAAGGAAGCTAAGACGGCTAGGATCTAACTAGGAGGGTAAGTTGCAACCTGTTCATACTGCCCAGATGGAAAGGGGACTCCTATAATATCAGCTTCATACATCCACTGTCTGTAACTTCCGTTACCTAATACCATCTCCGTCAGCCTTTCAGCCAAGTATGGTAGCATCTTTCTCGAATATTTATAAATTGCCTACAAGCACTGAAATTGCTGTTAGAAACTATACATCTTCAAACATGCACACTCCATTCTGTTCTCTCCAGACTCTGTTCTCCCCAGAATCCTGCTAATTTCTCTACAGTTTCAAGTCTCAGTCAGGGCTTCAGAAGGTTGAGGAACAGGCTACCCTCTGCAGTCAAGTTTGTCCTGGCTACGAAGTCCTGCCCCACCTGCAATCTGCCTCTGCCCTCGTGCAGTTGTGACAGACTGGAAAGCGCATTGTATTGAATTACCCTTTCTAGAAAAGAGCCAAGTAAGAAATTAGTTATTCATAAGTTCTTTGTGCATGATTTGCCACAGAAATAACATGAACTATTTTTGTAGGGCTTTGACAAACCTGACTAGGCTTAGCCCAACCTGGAATAGTCCCTGGGGAGCCTGCGAAAAACAAGCCACATGAGCTGTCCTGATGCTAGCTTCTGAGGGCCCTGACCCCCAGATCTCTATCCTCCCCCTCACCCTGCTTCTCATCCCCACCCCCTGCAGTCCTTCCTCTCAGGCTTTTGCAGTTACTCAAGATACTGTGCACGTAGCAGAGCAATCAGATGCTTTCTCTCAGATGGCTTGGCTAATGGCCACTTCCTGTGGTTGTCAAATGAAAAAAGAAGAACTAGCACATCCCCAATGACTTATTGTATCACTTCCCGTATCTGACTATCTGGCAGCCAGCATAATTTAACATCACTCGTAAATTAAGAGCCTCTTGCGAGGGTGCCACAGCTGAGCCCACCACCCCGTTTTGCTGATTAGAAAGAAACCGTGCCAGGACTTCCATTATGAATAGTCATTTCCTAAAATGTAACTCCAACAACACTGACATCTAATCATATATTAAATGAATGAATAGGGGTTCCATATCCACCCTGTGGACCTCTGAGCTCATTCTGAAGATTAAAGTGACTTCCTTTAACGTTCTCCCCACTAGCACCGTGCCCGTAAGGCCAGATTTCACCGCGACCGCCCCTTGCACCCCCCAACCAGCCCTCCAGCCCCCAGGTTATCCCCCACACTTTTCCCTGTCTCTTGGCTTTGCTCCGTTTCCCTTCCCTTCATGGCCTGGCCTGTGAGAAGAGTCAAGGTGAGCTCAAGCGAGGACCCTCATTCTGCCCCAACACCTCAGGCCCCTTTCTTGTTGAGAGTGGACAGCTCCATCAGGCACTTGGTGCCAAATGGAAGCAATGGAACTCGGTGCTGGCTCTCCATGTCCAGCCAGCGCTGGCTGCAAGCAGCAGAGACAAGCAGGGGCAGAAATCATAAGCAGACCCCTAGGGCTGCGTGTCCTCCCCTGGGCAGGCACACAGTGGGGCGTGCTAAGCAGCTTCGTAGGTAGTGGCTGCGCCGCATCTTGTTGACCTTAGCAGAGAATCCCATTCTCTGCTAGGCTTTCCAGCCAGGCTGGAAAAGCCTAGCTCATACTTGAGGAAAAAGACCTCCTTGATGCCATATAGGTGGTTTTGCATGTGCGTTCGTTCTGTTCTCTTGCTTTTTTCAGTGTGGGATTGTGAATGAGCACTGGAGCTGGGTCCAATGGCCCAATTTGCACACTGGCTTTGTTTGGTGCAGAGCGTGGCCACGGCCTCAGCAGCCCTATTGGAAGTGAGCTGTGTTTGGGTAAATCATGACCTCTCTGAGCCTTGGGTTTCCCTCTGTAAAATCGCAACCACACTCTACTGAGCCTTGATCTATGTTCAGGACTGTGAAAAATCAATGAGACAACACATATGAAAATACTCTGGGAAATGGAAATTTATAGCTGTCATTTTGCTAAAACTTATAAGAATAGATTAGCCCAGTTCTAGTAATAACTTCATCATTTATGAGTTGTGTGTCTTTAAACATGATATTTAAACTTCCTCAACCACAGGAACTTCATACAACTCATGGCTCCTTCCTAAGTTTGCTGTGAAAACTAAAATGAGTTGATATAAAATACATACCACAGTACTTGGCAGAGAACGTGAGCTCGGTAAATGACAACTGCTTTTATTTGTTATTGTTAGTATTTTTATTATCTGAAGAGGACAAAGAAGATAAAAAGCTTGTCCAAAAAAAAAATGAGATGCCATTTTTATATTTTATGAGTCTCGAAAAGATCAGGGACGTGGTTTCTAAAATGACTTTGATTCAAAAATAAAGACCAGTGTTTGATAGCTTCAGAATATTGTCTAACGGATTTGGGAACTCTGAAAAAAAAATATGAGAACAGCTGACACACTGCAGCTTAAATATAATCAGTCACTGAAATTGCTCTGCAATTTGTTTCAGTGTTTTCCTGTGGATTTCTTTTTTTAACCCTACATGTGTCCTAAATATATAATTATATGGCAGAGTATAATAGCTCATTTGGAATTATTGAGGTCCATTATATAATCCAGTAGGACCATGGGGCGGGGCCTGGAGGGGGTGGTTTTTCACTTGATGAGCACCACACATGCACTGGAGTAGAAGCTAATAGATGGTCTTAGCCCCAATTATCTTCTTCCCCAGGCCAGTCTCCCAAAAGACAGGGAGCACACTTTTCTGCCCTACAACCAAATTGTTTTAAATTGCTGTTGTGCATTTGCTTGAGAGGTCAAAATTTTTACAGAGATGTAAAATTCCTGAAGGGCAGAGAATAAGTGTGTACGTGTGTATATGTATGTCTCTGTATGTCTGTGTGTCTGTATGTGACTCTGTGTATAACAGTGTGTGTGTGTGTATATGAGTGTTTCTGGGTGTGTGTGTGTGTGTGAGTGACTGTGTATTAGTGTATGTCTATGAGTGTGTATGTGTCTCTGGGTGTGTGTCTGTATTTAACTGTGCCTGTCTGTGTGTCTGAGTGTGACTGTATATGACTCTGTGTGTGTGTGTGTGTGTGTGTGTATGTATGAGTGTTTCTGGGTGTATGTCTATATGTGACTGTGTCTGTGTGTCTGTGTATCTGTGTGAGTGTGACTCTGTGTGTGTGACTCTGTGTGTGTGTGTGTGTGTATGAGTGTTTCTGGGTGTATGTCTGTATGTGACTGTGTCTGTGTGTGTATCAGTGTGAGTGTCACTCTGTGTGTGTGACTGTGTGTGTGTGTATGAGTGTTTCTGGGTGTGTCTGTGTGAGTGTGACTCTGTATGTATTAGCCTATGTCTGTGTGTATGAGTGTCTCTGGGTGTGTGTCTGTGTGTGTCTCTGGGTGTAAAGTGTGTGTCCCAAAATGCTAAAAATGGTGGCTTGGACACAGCAAACACTCAATTTTTCAAGAAATGAATAAATGACACAAACTGCCTCTCCCCAGATACCTTTTCTTTGCATCAATCTATGAAATCTGTGTATGTATATAACTGTTAGGCCAGACTTGAAAATATACATTTTCTACCACCCTTACTTGGATTTAAAATAGAATTGGCCAGAGCTGTGGTCTTCTAGTAGAGTTAATCACCTTGCCGATATATCCCTGTTGATTAACTGATGGAGTCAATGCAGGCTTTTTGTCAATTTCCCTTCCTATTGGATAATTTCTCTCCTTCAAGAGAAATTAGGGCACTAGAGACCATATACTCAAAATCCATTACATAATTTACTTTTAATCCCAAGAGAAACCAAGACTGATGAAGGCTTTGCTGTGCCCTGAAAGATTGACTCATAAGGGTTGGGGGCAGAGACGCTCACCTGGTCCAGCCCTGCTGCATCCTCATGCTTGCAGGTTCTGAGCCGGGTATCCAGTCTGCTTCTTTAAGCCAATTCTATCTGAACTGGTCAGTCTTTAACTTCTTGCATTTAAAGTTTGTGAAGAACTGTGTTTCACCCAAAATTCGTTCATTTGCTAGGACACCGTCCCTCTGCCGCATAGGACTCTGTCAGCCCGTGGAAATGGGTGCCACTTTGCAAGCGGGCAAGATGCTTCTCAGCCCACTCCAGAATGCCTGTATCTGCTGACCCTGGAAGTGCTGTCTCCATCAGGCCCAAATCCAGAAGTCCAATCTGCCCCAAGAAGGCCCTCGCTTCTCTCTGGAGTTCAAGAGAACCTTCTGGGTATTCCAGATACCTCTGACCAACCAAGGGTGAGAGCAACCCCCACAGAGTGGTGTCACATTAAATATGGCACTTAGAGAAATCTCAGCCAAAAATTAGATTCTGCAATTATGTCCCTTAGTTTCAAGGCTGCAATCCAGGAATAGTCCTGACCACTTGTACCCCCTCTTTCCCAGGAAGCTGCTAAATGCCATATAGACCATATTCACAGGGATTCAGCTTTCTTCCTATCATTGAAAAGGAGCCATCAGTGATCCCAAGAGGGGATGAGGCCTAAGGCTGGTGGAGGAGCCCAGGAGCAATGGGGGATACGCTCATTGTGGGAAGGCTGTAACTGTGGGTGAGAGTGTTCATCTTGGTTGCAGAAGGAGGACTGCTCAGGTAGAAGGAAGAGGGAGCTGTCTCAAACCAGCAATGGGGGGTCTCCAGACACAGCGACATTAAGGTGGGCACATAGGAGGGCTCAGCAAAGGGCATGACCTGAAAGCCTTCAGGCAGGATGCAAGGACTGTGTCCTGGCGAGAAAAACCATTGAGCCTTCAGAGTCTTTATAATGACCCCAAAATATCCCAATGTTGACTCAGATCTGACTGGCATTTGGCAGTCACGGTGTCCCCATGATGACATTTGATAATACCTTCCTTCCCTGCCTTCAGCCATTGCTTGCTTCGAGCTTGCTTTTGATGTCCCTCACTTTTGTCCAAAATAAACTCTCTGCCGCAGCCAGCCCTGGCGGCTTCTCTCCGGCACATGAACTTGGCTCCCATGCCCACATGCCAGTGGAGTTTCCATAAGAAGCTATGGCATCCTTTCGTGATTCATTCTCAGGATTCATCCAGACCAGCTCCTCACCCAGAAAGGTGACCATCAGGAGTGGGCGACCCAACAGCACTGAGTCCCCAACTCCAAGCAAGCGGCCCCTCCACCTCCCCTGCCTCCAGGCCTTGTTCTCGCAGTTCTCCCTCCCAGAGCCCCCTCCCTTGTCTTCCTCACCTAACAAAACCCTAACCATCTCCCAAGGCCCAGTTTAGATCCTTCTTCCTCCATGGAGCCTCCTCTGCTCGGCCCAACCAGAGGAGAGGGCTCATTCCCATGAACTTATAGAAGCCATATAGGTCAAGGAAGGAGGCTCTTCAGTTTAGCCTTTATCGGAACAGCTTCTGTGAGCTAGGCACTCTGCTTAGGGCTTTCTGGGAAGGACTAATCGAATCCTCGTTGTAGGTACTATTATTAGCTACCATTCTCAGTTGGGGAAACTGAGGCACTAAGACGACAATGGACATACCCAAGGTCACCACTGATAAGCAGCCATTCGGGTGCTGAAACCCCAGTGCACTGGCCCTAGCGCTGGGCTCTGCACCACCTCCCGGGCCACCCTCCTGTTCCTTTTCCATTGGACACTCAGCCCCACGTGGCCTTGAGTCAGCTTTGGAGTTTGTCATTCTATATGCCCATGTCACCCCTGCAACCAGAGGGCAGGGACCATGGCTCAGTGTCTAGGAATGAAGCCGGCGGGGGTCCAGAAGGGCCTGAGGACTCTGGGTCCTGCCGTGAAGCACGGGGAGGAATCTGGGCAAGCCCTTTCTCTGTTTTGCTTCAAATCCACAGACTAACCAATATTTCTGTTTAGAGGTCCCTTGAATATGTTACTCCCGAGCCCAGGAGTAAAGAGGGAAATGGCTCAGTGGCCTGGGCTCTGTCACTGAATCTACATCTCTGTGTCAGGGGACCGCACACACTGCGGCTGGACGCTGGGTTTCTGTCCTTGTCACACGCGTTCCCTCCCAGGGCCATAGGCTTTCCACGGGAGCAGAGGAGGGAGTTGCTAGGGCTGGGAGACACTGGTCTTAGAGGAAAACCAGTCTACACAAGAATAAAAGACAGCCAGGCTCGTTCTAAAGCCCACCGCTCAGGACTGAAGTTGGAAGTCAACAAATAAAACTGCCGTGTCCCCGGTCCCCAGAGGCTGCAGTGGAGGACGGCTGGGTTATTTTGTGCTAAGAACTGATCCCCTAGCAGAACTGAACAAGGCTGCACGGTGATGGAAGGGAATCCCAGTTAATGCTGGGGATTTCAAACACATCAGGAACAGGAGGCGGAAGGACAGCCGGGAAGTCCACAAAGACCAGATGCGCGTCCTTCCTCAGCGGGAGAGGTTACAGGAGTTTCCTTCTCCAACTGATTCTACAAATTCCATCAGGCAGCAGCCTCCACTTACCAAATTGATCCCATCAGAAATGTAGGAGGAAATACTGATTGTGAATCAAAAATCATCCCCCTGTCAGGCCTAACTTCTACTTTTACCTCTACTTGACATTTGCTTCATGATTTAATTTACCTTTTCCTATTCACCCTTCCTTCTCTTGTTTACCTGGCTCCCAATTGAATTGAGCAGCTGAATTTTCATTATGCAAGTCAGAGGTCTGAGGAAAGTGTCTGAGCTTTGAATTCCTGCCAGTAATCCCATATCTGTTCTAGTTCATTCACCATAAAATCATGAATCCTCCTGACCCGCACTGACCTGCTCCAGTTAAAACAGGCATTAACAATGGGGGAGCAATTCATAGATAGGGAAGGGGACTAATTTTTCTGCTAAGCTTCACTCACCCTCAAGGACAAAAACAGTTCTGCAACAGCTTCTCTCTGCCTGTGTCCATTTGGAAACAAAGCAGATCCCAGGCAAAACCATGAGGTTGGCCCTAATCACCTGCCTAAGATCCAGCTTCCTCTTAATCATCTTAGGTGCCCCCCTTGCTCTAGCCCAGAGAGAAAGCACAGGCTGGCCCAGGGGGAGCTGAACCCCCATAATCCACAGCAACTCCTCCAGAACTCCCTGCAGTGACTACTGCACACCATGCCACTCTGAGACACAGTCACAAGACAAGTGCCCTAGTGTCTTCCTACCCATAACCCCTCCTACACAGAAGTTCAGGAGCTGCCAGTGGGATGATGCAGCCTCCCCTTCAGGGGCCCACTGCCCTGCCTTCCAAGCCCTTCCCATCACTGGGGCAATGAACCTGGCCTCACCACACTGTGTCCTGCTGAGATGTGTTGTCTGCTCATTGCTCCTTTCAGAAAAGCCTGCGAGAGAGAGGAAATGAAACAGAGATGGAAGGAAATGCAACCCTGGTAAGTGAGCTTTCTCCTCTGCAGCCTGCAGTCTCTGCTGGCTAAGAGTCTGGGCATTGGCAGCTTTGCAGGGTTGAAAAATGCCAAATGGTTCTGTGACCCAAGATGAAGCAGTGATAGCAGGGTGGCTCTAAAGAGGGAGAGCCTCAGCAAAGAAAAGCCTGACCCCAATCCTGTCTCAGTTACCTCTCCTGAAGAGTTCTTGGGTAGATCAGGGAAGCCAGCCCAGCAGGCAAAAATCAGAATACAAGTGTTGCCTTCCACCCAAGCCCATTTTTTCAGACACCCTCAAGGGGCCACTATTATATTGAGAGAAAGAGAAGATGGGAAGAACACAGAAGCCTGGGGCAAAAAATACACGAGAGATCAAGCTCAAAAACTGTCCAGATAAGACTCCTGGCTGTTTCCTACACATGGAACTGGCTAGAGAAAATAGACTGAAAGATGTGTATGTTTTGGAGTAGATTGCATTGCCAAAGAAATACAAATTGATCTGTAAAAGCCTGTGACTCTCTAACCAGTTAGAAACTCTTGATTCTCCAAACCTGCAGGAAATGGACTACAAAAGCCATTAGTCCCAAAGAAGGGCATGGTCTCCAGGGCACATGCTCCATATGGCCATAGAGGATCATGGGCAAGGAAGCATCTCTTAGAGTGCAGAGTCTCATTGCAAAGAGCCCAGCCCACTGCACCTCCATAGAGCAGGTGTAGCCAGGAGGGCTCACCAACACGTATTCTCCAGTAGGATTTGAGCATCACAATGGACAGTAATTCCTGTGGGTTTCTCCATTCTCCTTTTCAGTGGGAGTTTTGCTGAGGTTATCTGCTCATGTATCCTGGTTCCACAGGGCATTGAGTGAAGGTGGGCCGGCAGGCAGGAACCTTATTAAGTGGGATGCAGTCCGTGAATTTGATTTTCAAGTTCTCTTTCTTAGGAAGGTGTGAATGTGTTTGAGAGTGGGGGAAGAAAGTACATGGATATTTGGGTTACCAAAAGTGAGAATTGTGACAGAGACACTCAGTGATCACTTGATATCTATTCTCCCCCTTCTTCTACAGTAATAGAACCCACGATTTTTAGATGGGAACATGAGATTCAAGAATAAAGACCACACATCCCAGCTCCCCCGTAGTTAGAAGCGGTGAGGTGACTAAGCTCTGACCAAGAGCATGTAAACAAAAATAATGTGTGCAGCATCTAAGTTGTGTCCTCCCATTAACCAAGAGCAAGAATATGGACATGGTAGTGGAACACCCTGAACTTCACCAAAGAGACCAGCACCTTAGGGACGGGAGAGCTACAGGGTAGAGGCACTTGGGTCCCTGATACCTCAAAGCCATGACATCAGCCCTGACCACTCATGCCTGGCCTGTTATGTAGAGAGAAGGAACTTGTGCGTGCCACTATGTCTCAACTTTAGCAGCCAAACCTATCCTATCTAATAGAACATTGAAATCTAAACACTGAGTAAATCTCCTAAAAGGTAGAGGAGGGAAGGAAGGAAGGAAGAGAGAAAGAGATAGGAAGATTAAAATAAATAAAGTAGAGGACAGGTTACAAGATCCAATGTCCAAATAATAATAGTTCCAGAAGACAGAGCAGAGAAAATGGAGAAGAAATCATCCAAAAAAAATTCAATAGAGGTTTTTCAAAAAATGAAGAACACATGTTTACAAATTGGAAAGAACCATTGAATGTCCAGCACTATGGTGAAAATAGATTCAGGAAGAAAATAAACAAAAAAATAGATATGGTACAAAGCATCAAAAGATCAAAATGCCATCCAACTTCTCACCAGCAATATTGTAAACTGGAGCAAATCCCTCACAGTGTTAATGGGAAATTATTTCCAACCTAGAATACAGTAACAGCCAAAGCATTAATCAAGTATGAGGATAGAATAAAGATATTTTCAGACAAGTAAGTTCTCCAAAGATGTACCTCCTACTACATCTTTTCATAAAGTTATAGGAGGATGTGTTCCATAAAATAAGGATTAAAGTACAAAAAAAGGGGAGAGGGAAGACATAAACTAGGGTCTGGGAAACCAGAGAGCTGAAACAAGAACGAGCCAAGGGTAGTTCCCAAAAGGCAACAAATGGTTCAAAAATGGTAGCTTTGTGGCTGGACGGGTGGGCATCAGTGCAGTTAGCAGCAGGTCAGAGTGCTCCACAGATGGGCTCAAGATGAAGCTGATAAACTTTCTCATGTGTCTGAGGATTGCTTCAATTTTTGTAGGTACATAGTAGATGTGTTTGTTTATGGGGTGCATGAGATGTTTGGTTACAGGCATACAATGTGAAATAAGCACATCATGAAGAATGAGGTATCCATCCCTTCAAGCACTTATCCACGGAGTTGCAAACGTGTTTAAGGATAATGAGAGAAGATTTCTATGGCCGGGGGGGAGTTGTAGCATAATTGGTGATAAGTACCTAGAAAGCTGAGCAAATGTTTTAAAAAAGAGCCTAAAGGTGTGCTTACGTGTAGTAGGACAGGAGGGTGTTAAAAAAATAAGTAAGCCCTCATCCTGCACTGTATGAAGTCAACGAATAATGCCTAATATTAAGATAAAATGAGAAATATTGATATAAGTTTCTTTCCTCAGAGAAAGGTAAATACCAAAAGGATCAGCTAAAAGGGTTGAAATTCGTTGTTTCTGGGGAAAGGAAAATGGGGAAGAAGTAGTAGCTATTTGACTTATTAAGCTATGCAGCCCTATGATCTGATGTTTAAAAAATAGGAAAGAATAAAAAGGGAAGGGGAGGGAGGAAGGAAAGAGAAAAGGAAAAAAGAAAGGAAAAGAAAAGATGAGGAGAAAAAAGAAGAGGAAAAGAAAGGAAATTAAAAAGAAAAGCACTGTCAGCAGCAGGGAGAAGGCAGTTTGAAGAGCAATCAGAGATGGACCACGCAGCAGTGTGAACCCCCATTCATTCTCATCAGACTTTCCACAGCTTCCAAAACTCCACCACGCTCAAAGAGGCTTTGGAGTTGAAGTGAGGGATTGGTGGTGGTGGAGGTGCTGATCCGTGAAATTGGCATCTAAGTGGTAGGACTAGGACCCATCCAAAGGAGCCAAGTGGCATAAACAAGATGCCATTAAGCAATAACCTGGAGGTGGTCAGGTATCTCAGAGTCATGTCTACACTCGCATTTGGTTCCAGATATACCACTGGCTTACAAAGTCTTCATGTCTATAGCTCACTTCTCTAGCCTCAAAGGTCATCAGCACAGTTTAAAGAAAATGAAATGGACACAGAAACATACTCAAATATTTACTTCAGAGAGTTACTGAAGTTTCAAATGCAGAATATATTGAGGGAATAAATTAGAAAGATTCCATTTTGGCCCCATTTTCATTCATTTCAAAGTTTTTTTAGGGGAATAGAAAAGAAATCATTTTTCAGCATGAAAGGAGAGTAAGCCATGATTAGTATATCATTACTTTAATTAACAACGTATTAAATTGTTCAAAATGGAATAGAGGAGAGGACTTCTTATTTACATTCAGAGGCAAATGACCAGAAACCTCCTACTTCAGAGAAGCATCTGTTTTCTAACAGTTCTGTGTTAGTCCATGTTTGTGTGACTATGAAGAAATGCCTGAAGCTGGCTGATTCATAAAGAGAAGAGGTTTAATTGGCTCATGATTCTGCAAGCTTTACAGGAAGTGTGGTGCTGGGATCTGCTTCTGGTGAGGCCTCAGGAAGCTTACAATCATGGCAGAAGGCAACAGAAAGCCAGCATGGCATATGGCAAGAGCAGAAGCAAGAGAGAGAGCAGAGAGGTGCCACACACTTTTAAACAACCGATCTCACGAGAACCCACTCACTATCACAAGGGCAGCACCAAGCCACTCCTGATCCATCCCCATGTTCCAAACATCTGCCACCAGGCCCCACCTCCAACATTGGGGGTTACATTTCAACATGAGATTTGGAGGGGAAACACATACGAACTACATCCAGTTCATTGTGAATTCTATCATTCTACTATATTCTTCTGCTGTGGAAGAACCTCTTGTAACATGAGAAAATGAGTTTTGGGAAGAGATATCTAAAATAAATATGACAAAAAATTCAATGAGATTTAAAAAAAATCGTTATGCATTTGGACAGATGACAGCCAGTAATTCTTAAAATCAAGCGTTTCCTTTTTACCACACTCAGATTTTTGTAATAAAGGGTAGTAACTCACTGAATCAAAAGCAACTCAGCAGGGGCAGCAATGAAGGCCACTCAAGAAGAAAGGAAGGATGGCAATCTATTGGGTTTCCTGGGCTGTCCATCACATCATCCCTTACTGTGCAACAACCATTGAGCAGGCAACGGAGAAACAAAAAATGCTTTCCTGTGTGGGTTTTCATGGACTCACACTCACGTAGGCATATACAAGCTCTGTGATTACTTTAGTGGCACAATGCTATGGAATTATCCAACAGGGTTATGGATATCCAACAGGCCTTGGATGTGGAATTATCCAACTGGCCTTGAATTCATGTTTATAATTCAATTAAATTTTAATTCCTAATTTATTAAGAGTATTTAAAAGAAACCAAGAATAGCTTTTGACTGTTATAAAATATCCTTATAGAACATAATGATATGGTATTCCTTTTGACTTGTTAACAAAACAAATTACATTATTAGAAATCAAACCAATCTATATTCTTGAAACAAACTTTGTATTATTAAGATTATGCTTTAGAGAGGACCTATCAGAAATCACTCAAAATTCATATTTCTATTCATCAGCAGGATTCATCTGTAGATGTTTTCGTTGCTGTTGTTATTATTAATGATGTACCCTTTTGGGCACATTTTAGTATCAAGGTTATGCTTCCTCCATAAAATAAAATTGGAAACTTTTTATCCTACTCCACGCTCTGAAACACTTTAATAGGATAGGAATTACCCATTTGTACTTATGAAGATGTTATAGAATTGGTCCATAAAACTGTATATGCACTTTGGAAGACAAGTTCTTACTGTGTTGTTTTAGTCATGTTTTCCATTATTCTTTGTTTCTTTTAATCTACTCAGACATTGTCATTTTATTATTTTACTAAGTCAATTTTTTTATTTTTGTTTTTCTAGAAAGTTATCTATTTCATCCCAGATTTCTTTTTTACTCTTTTCCATAAAGACATATATACCATATGTGCTAGTCCAAAAAACATAGCTAATAGAATATATGGGCAGGGAGGTAAAATATTTATTTTATTTTAAGAAATTGGCTCATGCAAATTGAGAGGCAGCAAGTCTGAAATCCGTAGGACAGGCAGGGCATCAGGCTAGAAATCTTGGCAGAATTTCTAGGTTACAGGCTTAAGGATAATTTCTTTTTATCTGGAAAACTTTGGTCTTTGCTTTTAAGGCCTTCAACTGATTGGATGAGGCCCACCCACATTATTGAGCATCATCTGCTTTACTCAAGATCTACTGGTTGTAAACAGTATTATCTACAAACTACCTTCACAGCAACAGCCAGACTAGTGTTTGATTAAACAACTGGGAACCATAACCAAGTCAAGTCGACACACAAAATTAGTTATTGCACCATCATCAATTCTAAGATGCATTTTTTTTCCCTCATCTTAACGTGGTAAAAAGTGGGATACTTCTCCCACCCATATTTTGGGTCAAGTGATGACCTTCTAGGAAGGACTCAGGTCATGGCTGTAATGCAAGCAATGCTGCCATTTGGGCCATATAATCTGGCAGACCCTATTGTGTTGGAGGTATCAGTGGTAGGAAAAGGTGCCACATGGAGTTTGGGGGAAGCCCAATGGGAGAATCACAATGCAGTCCCCTGTTGTTCTGGAGCAAAGATATGTCTTCTGCAGCAGAGAATGACATGTCATTTGAAAAACCTCTCCTGATGTTCTACTGAGCCCTAGTGGAAGCAAGATGCCTGGCCACAGACACCCGGTAACCGTGTGACCAGACTGCCCATGATAGGCTGGGGCCTCTCAGACCCCCCAAGTCATATGTCAGGGCAGACTCAGCAACACTTCATTGTAAGATGGTTCATCTGGGTTCCAACAAGAGCAGGACCGAGAGCACAAGCAATGAGCAGATAGCCCAGACCTCAACGGCATCCAGCACTGTTACACCAGCACCTATCCCTCAGTTTATGCCTACCCCTATAGGGAGTAATTCTGTCTAACCAGGAGGAAGAAAAAGCCAGAGCTGGGCTTATTGATGAAATCAGCTAAGTATGTAGATGTGTAACAATCATGAGAGGTATCTTTGAAAGATAGTGTTGAGGGAAAACCCCCTTAGTGGGCAGAGCTTTGGGCAATGCACCTGATCATTCATTCTGGGAGGCAAGAGAAATGACCTGAGGTTCAACTATAAATACACTCATGGGCAGCTGCAAATGGACTGGTTAATTGATCAGGGACTTGAAATGGGAAAAAAATTGGAAGGCGGGGTTCAAAGAGGTCTGGGATAGAGGCATATGGATATTTGGGAGTGGGTCCACAATGTAAAGATATTTGCATCACATGTAAATACCTGCCCGAAATTATCCACATTGAAGGAGTACTAATTCAACAAGTAGACAAAATTAATGGGCCAGTTGACATCAGCCAACCTTTATCATTGACTGCTCCTATGGCATGATGAGCACATGGATATATTGGTCACAGTGGCAGAGATGGAGACTATGCATGGGCCCAATGGCCTGGACTCTTATGGACTTATCTAGTAACTGTTGTCACTGAATGTTCAACCTGTGAGGAAGAGAGACCAATGGTGAGCCCCGATATGGTGCCATTCTTCAAGGAGACCAGCTCTCTATCTGGTGGCAAGGTGACCACATCAAATCCCTTTCATTCTTCAAGGGCCCGTGGTTATGTCTCACAGAAATAAATATGTGTTCATATTGTGGCTTTGCCTTTTTCTGCTCACAGGATCTCAGGTGGAACCACTATTTAAGGTTTATCGAAGTGTTGCTACACTGGTTCAGGATCCCATGTAACATTGTATCAGAACACTAAACCTACTTTATAGCAAAGGAGGCATGGGAATGGGTCTGTTGTCAAGGGATCTACTTGTCACATGATGCGTACTGCACTATCCTGTCCAGAAGTTGCTTTCTAGACAGAACACTGGAGCAGCCTGCTCAGGGCACAGGTGAAGTGCCAGCTCCGAGGTAGAACACCCCAGGGCTAAACTGCCATCCTCCAGCATGCAATATATGCATTGATCAAAGTTGTTTGTCTGACACTGCATCCCCATTAGAAATGCAAGAACCCGGAAAGGAAGGGATAGAAGGAGAAGTAACTCCACTTCCCATCACTGAAAGAGTGCCTCGCAGGAAATTCTTGGCAGGGAAGAGAGAAATTCTGGGAACAAATTAAGCTATCGTAACCCTGTGTAAGAAAAGAATACTAGTCTCAACACTGGTGGGAATGGGACACGGACCAGTGGCATCCATCAGGCACACTATCTTCTTATCCCCTTTAGAGGCAGGCTTACAAATAAGATGGTTCTTATTTATGAAGGCAAGTAGAGAACATCAGGGCCTCCCATCCTAAAACATGTTCAGGTTTCATTTTACCTCTGAAACAGAAATTCCTCTTGATTATCTATTGTTTGTTGGCCATTGAAAAAAAAATGAAGATATGAGTAATTTACAATGAGCTTTTTTTTTGCCAAAATCTAGAGCAATGTTAAAAATAAATAAATAAATTCCTTGCATCTAAAGCCAAATGAAAACATCCAAGAGGAAGAAAGCACTTCTCTGTAGCTGCAAGTCATGTTAACCCCACATTGTTGGGTAGAAGTGCCGTCAAGCTGAGTGTGTAGTGGGGTAGAAAGGAAAAGTAAGTTATTCTCCCTGGGGCAAGAAGAAGGGAGGGAGAAGGCCAGAACAGCTCCCAGGACAATATCACTTTAAAAAAGATCAATAAAAATGAGGTTGTCATATTGCGCAAGGACCAAGGGCAAGGGAAGCTGTCTGGGGTAGCTAAGACTTTTTATTTATTCTATTTTATTTTTTTGAGACAGAGACAGAGTCTCACTCTGTTGCCCAGGCTGGAGTGCAGTGGCACAATCTCAGCTCACTGCAACCTCTGTCTCCTAGGTTCAAGCGATTCTCCTGCCTCAGCCTCCCAAGTAGCTGGGATTACAAGCACGTGCCACCACACCTAGCTAATTTTGTATTTTTAGTAGAGATGGGGTTTCACCATGTTGGCCAGGCTGGTCTCGAACTCCTGACCTCAGGTGATCCACCCACCTCAGCCTCCCAAAGTGCTGGGATTACAAGCGTGAGCCACTGCACCTGGTCAGCCGAGGCTTTTTGGGAGTCCTGAGATAGCAGGGGCCCCCTCCAGGGACTGGTAACCTGAAATGGTCCTTAGCAAACTGCCTTCCCTTGAGGACACGCCTCTCCCATGTGAATCCGCGGTAGGGCGGCAGCACATTTACTCCTGTCCAGTTCTTCTGCATTATCAGGGGTCATGTTGTCAATCCTGGCTGCACATGAGATTCGCTTGAGGAGCTTAACTAGATAAATAATACACCAATTAAATCAGAATACCCAGCATGGAGCTGTTAGGAAAGTCCACCAGGTGACTCGGTGTAGCAGCTGGGATGAGCCCCTGGGGTTCACTTTGTAGTAGGTATTGCCACCGCCTGCTGTCCTGCCCTTGGGAGAAATGGGTGGGAATGGGAGGAAGCGCGTTGCTAACCCTGAGCTTGAACTGCAAAGTTTAAACTCCCCACTCCGCCTTCTCTTCTCTGTGCTAATGAGCTCTGCTCCCCTTAACCCAGTGCTCTTGAACTTTAGCCTGAGTCAGAATCACAGGGAGAGCTTGCTAAAGCACAGACTGCTGGGCCCCACCCTAAGCATTTCTGGTTTGGGAGTTCTGCTGTGGGGCCCAAGAATGTACATTTCCAATGAGTTCGCAGGGGCTGCTGCTGCTGGTGGTGGTAGTGGTGTGGGGACCACACTGTAAGAAGAACAGCCTTCACCTTTCTGCCGGGTTCTTATTTCCTACATGTAGACCACCTCTGTGACCTTCTTCTGACCTCTGGCATGGATTCTTCTTTGCAAAAGCCCTATTTGCAAAGCATGTTTTCAACAGCCTGCCCAGCACAGAGCATAAAAGAAGGATTACTTTGCAGTTTGGCTGTGTCAGCCTGCTTTGAATATCCCTTATTGCATCCCTGCTTCAGCTCTGGTCTGTGCAGATGATTCACGGGCAGCTCCCATTCACTATGCCCCTCGGATCTCTTCCACAAAGCCTCTTTCCATCTTGCACAAGACCCAAGGATGACACACACAAAAAATCCCTAAATGTTTTCCTGCAACAAGAACAATTTCTTTATACTTTCCTGAGAAAGGACTTATTTTATTCATAACCATGATAATAAATATGAAACCTACACTATTTCAGAACAAGGTAGAATAATATATGACTACTGATCTCTTGAACTGAACTGAATGGAAATAAATTGCTTGGAATCCTTTAGTTGACTCCCCATACACCAATGTTTCCATCTTATTTTCTTTGCTTGCATAGGGAGAGTCTTCATTTTCACAAAATCAAGTCCCTAACTATATTCCAAGTGGCAAGGGTGATTCCTTCAGCTTCAGTAATGCGGTACCTTGGCAGTTCTGGCTCCTCTTTGAATTAAACATAACTTGTTCTCAGTGATCCATTTCTCAAATCTTGTTCTTCTCCTGGCTCTCAGGCTTTTAACTGCTTTGCAAGCTGTTTTTCCCCACTGGACTGCCAAAATCGGTCATTGAGGATAAGTGTTGTACTATGGAAGTCACATTAACACTTTCGGGGAGGCCCTGTTTCTCTGATAGTTTCACTGGAGGGTGTTCAGTTTTTAGGGCTGTGGTTCTTACTAAGATAATGGGCATCTCCTGTGGGCTGACCCTATTAGAAGACCTGAGAATGTGGTGCCCACTCTCCTCCCCTAAACGCAGAGTGCATTTGGATTGTCAGTGATGACTCCTTGCTCTCTGGCCTAGCAGAAACTGGAGAAAACTACAGCTCAGAGCAAATAGATGACCTCTAAATGGGTTTCTCAGCTTCCCAAGGTTTGAGTAAGGTTTGATTCTCTCCAATGGGTCAAAGGCTTATGATGTCTGGCTCAGGCCAACACAGATGTACCCTGAGGCCAAGGACCCAGAGCGAAAAATGCCCAATAATTGAGGGTCTTCCCGTTAGTCCCCCTTGAAAAGTAGAATCCTCACCTCTCATTTATGGCTGTTGCTGGGAGATGTCCAACCATCTGTTCCCAATGTAGTCTGGTGCACGTTGTTAAGCTTAATTAGCTGACCTAGATACTAAATATATAGCTAGCTCTTATTTATTTTAATGTAGATATTATTTTATATGTTGTAAGCCACTGTATTAATAACAAAAGCATACATATGTATAATATCAGAGTTGAAAATTCAAACTCTGTAAAGGCCAGCAAGTAACTAATGTGGCCCCATGGTAAGGCAGTGGTGGAGACTGTCCACGGGAGGAAGCCAGTATGCTCAACTCCAGCCCATCACTGCCATTTGAGAATGTTAGCTAGGTATTGCCAGAGCCTCTGACTTTTCAAGAAAAGTGGAAAAATCCAAATTTTTATGTGAAATCTCCTGGGTTTTAAATGATGGTATCTAGTCCAGAAATGTTTAGAAGCTTGAGCAGCTGAACCGCACAAGTTTAATAACCAATCTGGACCTTGAGCCACTCATCCGCAGCTTCTCCTGCTTTACCATTCCCAAGATCTAAATTGACCTTTCCCACAGTGTCACCTTTGTGGCAAAGCAGAGATCCTATCCTCCCTCTAAAGAAGAATAAACAGAGGTTCACACTGGTTAGTAACTTCCTGAAGACCTCAAGGCTAATGTGGTAGAGCCAGGACTCAGACCAAGGAGGGTCCGTTTTTTTCTCCAGGACACGTTCGCTTTCGCTTGCTGTTGGCTTGCCGGGAGAAACCGACATCAGGCATGCAGAGTGGACAGGCAGCTCCTCCCCTGCTGGCCCACCTCCTTCCCTTCTGCCATCTTCAACACATGCCTTCCAAAGTCCCCTGGTCCAGCCAGCAGAGGAGGGAGGATGGTCAAGGATCACTTGTGGGGACATTTTATGGGGCAGGCCTGGAAGGGGCACATTACACCTCCTTGTGTTCAGGCGACCAGAACTTGGTAACATCACAATACCCAACTGCAAGGAGAGCAGATAAGTGTACTCCGGCTGTGTGCTCAGAAACAGGAACAAACATTCGGTGGTCTCCTAGCTATTCTGTCACAAACTCATATGAAAATAACTTATGTTCCCCAATATCGTCCTTGTTTTGGTGGGGAATATCTCTTCTGCATTGAAACCTCCACTTTTTGAAATATTATTAAGACTACAACTAGGCCGGGCATGGTGGCTCACGCCTATAATCCCAGAACTTTGAGAGTCCAAGGCAGGTGGATCACCTGAGGTCAGGAGTTCAAGACCAGCCTGGCCAACATGGTGAAACCTTGTCTCTACCAAAAATACAAAAATTAGCTGGGTGCAGAGGCACGCACCTGTAATCCCAGCTACTTGGGAGGCTGAGGCAGGACAATAGCTTGAATCCGGGAGACAGAGGCTGCAATGAGCCGAGATCATACCACTGCACTCTAGCCTGGGCTATAGAATGAGACTGTGTCTCAAAAGAAAAAGACTACAACTAGAAGACAGACTGACAAGTCTTCTACCTGTTCAAATAAATGGCTACTGAGAGTGTGTCACTCCTGCTACAGTGCTGTGCACACAGTCAGCACTCAGATATATTCACTTAAACGAATTGAATTAGCCCTGGGGGTTGACACCACACTGATGGAGTTGGGAACAGAGACTCGGTCCTCACTACAGCCAACGGACATCACAGCCTGACCTGTCATTGCACTTGCAGAGATGGTGGGGTTCAGGTGGAGTTCTAGGCAGAGTCTAGATTGCACATCTTGCTGAGCTTGGAGCCAGTAACCTGAGGCAAGTCATTTCATCTCTTCGGGCTTTAGCTGCTCTTTAGTGGAGTGGAGATGATGCCCACACGACACCCTGAACAGCCTTGCTGCAGAGCCACCAGAAGTCAGCTGATCTGCCAAGCATCCATCACACAGGAGATGTTCCATGGACAATTGTTAAATTAACAAGGAGCGAGGCAAGGCTCTGAGGCTGGGCCACCCAGAGCCATCCAGAGCTGTCAACACTACTGGGAACACCCAGGGTGCCCAGCCCACAGGCAGGTGTCCTTGGTGATGTCCTCACAAGGACAGATCCTCATTCTTTCACACACACAGGGTCATGGTAGGAATCAGACGGTACAGGGTGTTCCTGGCCAGCATGCGGGGCTCAGGATTCTGCCAGGATGCCGGACACCGAGTGCTGGTGGGGCTGAACGCACACCTTCCAGCCTCCAAGGAGTTTGTTCAAAGGCTCCAAAGCCCGTGGCTTATCCCCGTCTGCATAAATAGCTCCGTTCTCTGTGTGTGCCCCGACAAGAAAAAAGTTGGGAAGGCCAGGCGCAGTGCCTCCCGCCTGTAATCCCAGCACTTTGGGAGGCCGAGGCAGGCAAATCACTTGAGGTCAGGAGTTCAAGACCAGCTTGGCCAACACAGTGAAACCCCATCTCTACTAAATATACAAAAGTTAGCTGGGTGCAGTGGCATGTGCCTGTAATCCCAGCTACTCGGGAGGCTGAGGCAGGAGAATCACTTGAACCCAGGAGGCGGAGGTTGCCATGAGCCAAGATCGCACCACTGCACTCCAGCCTGGGCAACAGAGAGAGACTCTGTCTCAAAAAAAAAAAAAAAAAAAGTTGGGAAGTGCTATCCTTTTTCAGCAGAAGAAAGCTTTTTTGTCCCCCCCTCCGAAGCCCAGTTCACACAACAGTTAAAGTGGAGTGTGTCTGGTTGTGGGGAGGAGAAGAGCAGACACCAGCACAGCATAAGAGCAAATATGCCCAGCCACTGCCTGGCGAGGGCCCTAAGGCACCTCTGCAGAACGCTGCAGGCTCCGTTCAGAAACACGGCAACATTATGGCCCTGAGGGTAACTATATCCACCACTATACATCCATGAAATCAGGTTAAATTGAATATGAAGTATAGCGTTAAAACAGAAAAAAAAAATTGATTCGCAGCCAGAGATGGGACGAGAGGAAACAGTGATCTCCGTTTTAGTACAGAATACAAGGCAGCCATCCTCAAACTTGGAGAGAATATGGGGACCCCCGGGAAGCTTGCACATCCCTGGGTCTTGAGTGGAGTCAGGAAGCCACATTCCACGGGGGATCCCAGGAGACGCAATGGAGCCCTTGTGCAGACCCCTCTCACAGGGGTGCTGACAAGGCTGGTCACACAAGACTCCCTGGCTGGTGTGGCAGCTGAACCCAGACAGCCTCAAGTGCTGAGCCTCCTAGGCCACCTTTCATTTGCTGTGCAATTTGTATGGACAAAAATGGGAGCCCCACTCTGCCTACGTCCGCAGTTGTCCTCAGACTGTAGTGTGCATCAGAACCACCTGGAGTGTTTGCTGAACCACGGATCGCTGGACCCCGGCCCTACGGTGTGTGACCCAGGAGGTCTGAGATGCAGCCCCCTCAGGGGAAGAAAGTTGAACTAACGTGTCTAACAAGTCCCGTATTCCCAGGCAATATGATGCTGCTGGTTCAGGACCACACTTAAAGCCACAGCCCTAGACCAGGGTTTCTCAACTTCAGCACGGCTAAGATTTGGGGCCACTGTAGGAGGGACTGTCCTGCATTGCAGGAGGTTTAGCGGCATCTCTGGCTTCTACCCACCAGAAGCCAGTGAGATCTCCCACTTGTAACCACCAAAAGTGTCTCCAGATGTTGCCAAATCCCTCCCCACCACTTGAAAGCAACCAGTCTAGGGCAAATCCAGAGACCTTCCTAATGCTGCCAAGGCGGTCTGAGGTTCCTGCAGCGGGTTTATGTCCTTCTGTCACCTTTTACTACAAAGTCCTACTCTCTGTTCACTTTCATCCCCACCTGCTGCGTGCTTCCTGTGGCTGACCTCCTGTCCCTGCCTCGATTTAACCACCCAAGCATCAAAACAGTTCCCCTTCATTCCCTTAAAGAAGTTTCCTCCCAAACATGCTCCGTCATAAGAATTAGAAACACAGACTCCTAGGCCTCTCTCTGGACAACTCTGATTCAAAAGGCTGGAGTAGGGCCCAAAATATGCATGCCTAAAAAGTGTCCCGGGCAACAGTGATATCATAGAAGTCTGGACAACTCTGCCTTAAAAGTTCCTTTAAACACAAATGCACAAACACATCACAGGGATCTTGTTAAACTCCAGACTTCAATTCAGTCGGTGGGGGTGGAGCCTTAGATTCTGCATTTCTGAGAAGCTCTCTGGAAGGCCAGCTTGCTGTAGGTCCATAGATCACACCCTGAGTGGCAAGATCCTAAAGAACTCAGTGAGGCTAGTGAATAGACCTGATCTTTAGTAAATGCTGGGGATAATGGTGGAGGTCAGAGTTGGGGATCACAGGAAAAACAGCAGCACAGTTCAGGAAAACTTCGCATTGAACATCTGACGCCACTCTTTCTGGGGATTCATTGGCCCTTTCCAGCCTCAGGAAGTTTCTTACCATGTGGATTCCAGGTCTGCCACCATCTTACTATAGAGTGTACCCCTGGTCCTTTCACCTTTCTCCCCATCATCCACGGTCCTATCTCTGCCCTCCAGCTACCATCCAACAACAAAACTCCCCTTGCTTTATTATACAGGGCAACTTCACTTTCACGTTGCCTTACTACTTTTTGAATTCTGCTTTTGAATCCGAACTAGCTTAAGGAGGAGTCTTGAACTTGTCAATGGAAGGGTCTCATCAAAGTGCTTCCCTAAAGCAAAGTCCAACTTTCTTCCCATGAGGAACACTTTGATCTCTGGTGAAGGGTTGTGAATGTGGGCTCGGCATCACATCGGCCTGGTCAGAAATGCAGTGAACCAGAAAGTCTGGGGTGGAGCCCAGCAACCTGTGTTCAGCAAGTCTGCCGGTGACTCCGATGCCCGCGCAGGTTTGAGAACCGCAGCTCTGGACCATAGCCAGCTTCTACAATGGCTTCCTCTCCCATCTACTTCATAAGCGTCAGTTCTTTTTAACACCAGCCAATAAAGCTACAGCTTCTTAGTTTTGCTGCCTGGCTCCCAACAGCTAGTGAGCTTTAAGCCATTTGAACAGCTCTGCAGGTTACCTCCTTCCTTACTGAATACAATATAAATTTACAAACACAGGCAAATCTGGAAGCAAAAGTTGTCCTTTTGATTTATACCTATAATGACATTCGTGCCCAAATTATTTATGGAATATGATAATGCTCCATCAGTTGTAGGCACTTTGAGGTGAGCCCATATAGATAACTGCTCTCCTTCCCGAAAATAAAATATGTCAAAACAGAATCATGCAGTATTTCTTAAGACTGCAACAACGATGTGATTTGCCAATGTCATGCTTTCAGGGCATGAGTAATGTGCTCATTATTCATCATCTACAATCCAACCTGGAATCCGTGAAGGCAAACGAGGTGAGAGTCTGTATCTAAACATGCCAAACACACCGGGTCTTTCTTTTTGAGTTGTTTAGACGTGATCACCCACACACACTGATTGTTTCGTGTTTGACGTTAATTACTGCATTGAATCACCTCAGTGCTCCGAGCCCCGGCTGCAGAAATACAGCAGAGGTTGATTTTGAATTGACTGTGCTTGAAATAAGCTCAGCACACTTAGGAACAAAGGGAAAAAAAAGATAAAAAATATCATCTAGAGATCTCAGGAGAACCTAACAAGATGTAAACCCACTCATATTTGGGTTCCCACGTTAGCATGTACCAGCTCTGACACGGTAATCCTACCAAACTAATTTCCCCATGAAGCCGGGTTGGCATGAAAGGTGAGCATGGATCTGGTGAACACGTTCTCTGTGACCACTCTCGATGGCAGGTAGTCCCTTCCTGTCGCTTGAAGCATGACTTCCGAGTACAGGGCGCTGATAGGTTATTTTCCCTGGTTCTCTTCATTTGCTCCAGTTTTTCTCTTTCAACTCTGTGGAGTCAAGAAGTAAATTCTGTAGAACCAAAGTACAGAGAAAATACTTTCTGCCTTTCCCCCATTTTATCTGGAGAAGGTCAGCTCCAGACCCTCAACCTTGAAGTCAGAGAAGCAGGCTGACCTTGAACCATCAAAGTGGCCAGAGTGAGGAGAACATCAGAGGCCACTAGGTCATATGGGAGTGTAGGTCCTTCTGAGGTCTGTCATGAGAAAGGTAGGAAATAAAATGCAACCTGTAGTGACACCTGCCATGGTCTGAATGTGCCCCCTCAAAGTATATGTTATGTTGGAATTTAAACCCCAATGTGATAATTTTTTTTTTTTTTTTGAGATGGAGTCTCGCTCTGTTGCCAGGCTGGAGTACAGTGGCACAATCTCAGCTCACTGCAACCTCCGCCTCCCAGGTTCAAGTGATTCTCGTGCCTCAGCCTCCCGAGTAGCTGGGATTACAGGCATGTGCCACCACACCCAGTTAATTTTTATATTTTTAGTAGAGACAGGGTTTCACCATGTTGGCCAGGATGGTCTCGATCTCCTGACCTCGTGATCTGCCCACCTCAGCCTCCCAAAGTGCTGGGATTACAGGTGTGAGCCACTGCGCCTGTGAGAAATAGTTAATCTCTCATGCCCAATGTGATAGTTTTAAGAGATGAAGGCATTAGGGGGTGGTACGGTCTCTAGGGCTCTATCCTTATGACTGGGATTAGTGCCTTACAAAGGGGCTTGTGGGGCCTCACCAGGCTCTTTGTCCCTTCTGTCTTCTGCCCCTCATCAGACACTGAATGCCAGCACCTTGATCTTGGACTTCCCAGCCTCCTGAACTGTAAGAAACAAAATTCTGTTCTTTATTAATTACCCAGTCTAAGGTATTTTGTTACAGGAGTGAATAAGCTGGGATAGAGCCTTCAGTAATTTCCTGAGACCAAATTACACAGAGATACTATGGGTGGCAAGACTGGAGATGGTCCACAAGAGTCTGCCCACTGGTGTACACACCCTGCAGTGCCCTCCCTTGGAGTGTGAGGGGGGCCACTGTGAGTAGGACACCCATCTACTGTCTTTGGTAATCAGGAGATTATTCCACATGAGCCTGACCCGATCAGAGGGGACTCTGAAGAAGGTGAGGTCACAGATCCTGGCCTGGAACAAAGCAAACATCCATGCTGTGAGCTGCCTATGGGGTCACCTTGCAAGGAACCACAGGGAGTCTCAATGGGTTGAGAGCAAGCCCCAGCCAACAGCCAACAGGAAATGAATTCCACCAGCGAAAACCGAGCTTAGAAGTGAACCCTGAGTGTCCATGGAGACCCAGCTCTAGCCAACTTCATTTCAGCCTGCTGAGCCCCTAGGCAGTGGCCCCAGGTATCCCACAACCCAGCCTCCTGACCCACACGAACTAGGAAGCAGTAAGTGCACGTTTTTCTAAGCTGCTAAGTGTGTGGTGATATGGTACACAGCAACAGAAAACTAATATAGATGCATGAAATTATTCAGAAGAATTTTTTTTTTTTTTTTGAGGTGGAGTCCCGCTGTGTAGCCCAGGCTGGAGCACAGTGGTGCGATCTCGGCTCACTGCAAGCTCCTCCTCCCGGGTTCACGCCATTCTCCTGCCTCAGCCTCCCGAGTAGCTGGGACTACAGGCGCCCGCCACCACGTCTGGCTAATTTTTTTTGTATTTTTAGTAGAGACGGGGTTTCACCGTGTTAGCCAGGATGGTCTCGATCTCCTGACCTCGTGATCCGCCCACCTTGGCCTCCTAAAGTGCTGGGATTACAGGCGTGAGCCACCACGCAGGCCCAGAAGAATGTTAATAAGGGGTTATTTACTTAATGGGAGCACATCTTTTTTTTTAAAGGAAAACAGGCCTGGCGCGATGGCTCACGCTGGTAATCCCAGCACTTTGGGAGGCCGAGGCGGGCAGATCACGGGGTCAGGAGATCAAGACCATCCTGGCTAGCACGGTGAAACCTTGTCTCTACTAAAAATGCAGAAAATTGGTTGGGCGTGGTGGCGGGCGCCTATGGTCCCGGCTGCTTGGGAGGCTGAGGCAGGAGAATGGCGTGAACCTGGGAGGCGGAGCTTGCAGTGAGCCGAGATCGTGCCACTGCACTCCAGCCTGGGCTACAGAGCGAAACTCCGTCTCAGAAAAAAAAAAAAAGGAAAACAACGTGGACCTACTTTGATCAGCTGAGTCAGCCAGAAAAGTCATTGCAAATTCTCCACCTGGAAATTGACAGACCAGCGGAGTTTTTCCCGAGCCCACTCACCATTCACTCCAGCCAAAAACACGTACTGAGCGGTCCCCCGCATTTCTGGCTTTCTCTGCATGTCTCTGCTTCCCCCATTCTCACTGGTGCCAAGTTTAGAACGGAGTCACATTGCAGGACTACTTTTCTATCTTCTCTTCTCCTCTTGAGAGTGGATCTCTGTTCCACCTGCCCCGTGTGACCCCCATCTCCAGTTAGTTCAGGCACCCTCCAGAGACGTCACACCAGCATTAACGAATGCTGAGCTGGGGCTTTGGGGTCCCCTCCCCGTTTTCCTTGCTCTCTGGTTGGCCCCACTGGGATGCCTGCTCATGAGGCCCTTCCTGCCCACTTAGCCTCCTTTGGGCGATGAAAAAAGAGCTTCCACCACAACATCACCAGACCTGCCCTGAGTCAGAACCTCTGGGGTCCTCAATGCACTGAAATCGTGTGTCGTTCAGATGTCCCAGGGTGTCCAAACACTCGCATCAGCTCTGTGTGTAACCGAGGCATTTACATTGCAGCAAATCCACTGTGAGCCTCTCCAAAGTCCTTCAGACATTTTTGCAAACCCGGCGCCCCTCCCAAAGTGGTGCTCAGCTCGGTCTTTCCCGCTCCCTCCCTAACCCCCAGCTGCTGCCAATTCCTCATGTGAAAACTGCTGCTACCTCGGCCCCTCAGGTTTCCCTTTTTGCACCAAAGCAGTTCTCAAAGACTCACACAGCCCCACCATCAACCCACTGCCCAAGGAACACTCCCTCCATGAGAAGGATTCTCGCTCCCGGTGCTGGGACAGTAAGTTCCCTCAGCACTTAGGAGAACGCTGTGTTCTTCCTGAGTAGTACAAGACACATCCCAACAGATCTTACCGCGACTTTAGTAAAGCAGCCTGGTTCCGTTGCATTTGCTGCACCACAAATGACCCCAAAACTCAGTGACTTAAACACAGTTTATGGCTGTTTGCACTTCTGTGGGTCGGCGGGTGGGTGGTTCCTCAGCTGCTCTCACCTGGGCTCGCTCCTGCAGCTGCATCGAGCTGGACTATTGGCTGGGAAGGACTGAGTGGGCCTCACCAGCATGCCTGGCTGTGGGTGCTAGGTCCTGGCTGGGTGCCTCAGGTTCCCTTCATGCGGCCTCTCACCCTCCCGCAGGTGGGCCTAGTGCTCTCCGTGGCGCTCTCAGGGCAGCCTTCCAAGAGAGTGAGACAGAGGCTGCAGGCCTGTGAAAGCCGAGGGAATATCACTCTCTCCACGTCTTGTTGGTGGAAGCATATCTTCACAAGGTTCGCTCGGATTCAAGGGGGCCCTGAGGGTGGTTTCTGTGGGAAGAACAATAAAGTCTCAAAACTGAGAAGAGTTTTGCAATCTACCAACTGGCGTTTTTATTTTTACTTCATTCTCTTGTGTGTTCATGTAAGCATTCTTTCTATTCTCTCTCTCTCTCTCTCTCTCTCTCCACCCCCCTCCTTTTCTCTGACTCTCTCTCTCTCTCTTAAAAACCAGACATGAGGCCGGGCGCAGTCGTTCACACCTGTAATCCCAGCACTTTGGGAGGCCGAGGAGGGCGGATCACGAGGTCAGGAGATCGAGACCATCCTGGCTAACATGGTGAAACCCCGTCTCTACTAAAAATACAAAAAAATTACCTGGGCGTGGTGGCGAGCGCCTGTACTCCCAGCTACTCGGGAGGCTGAGGCAGGAGAATGGCATAAACACTGGAGGCGGAGGTTGCAGTGAGCCGAGATCGCGCCACTGCACTCCAGCCTGCGCGACAGAGCGAGACTCCACCTCAAAAAAAAATAATAATAATAAAAAATTCAGACATGAGCCCACAAAATTCTGGACGGGGAGACAAATCCAAGCAGTAAGTGCCATGATGTCCTGAGGGCCTCTCTTCCTCTTTTATTTGGCCCGCTCGTGTCTTCCTGACTCTTTAGCATCAGTTCTTCTCTAAGAGAGTACCCAGTCCCTAAAACACTGGTTCCCACACGGGCCTGACCGGACCCAGCATGTCTGAGTCCAAGGCCCGGGGCCTGCTTGTCTCACTCCTGGGCCACCTCTCCGCCGCTGTCACGAAGTTTCTTCACGGCAGCCCTGTGAAGAGGCCATGCCAGCCAAGGCCCCGTCTGGTCTCCTCCTCCCCGAACCCTGAGTCGCCTAGGGGTGCCGTGTGTGACAGATGATGGACGATCGGGGGAGTGGGGTTGGTCAGGCCTCGAAGGGCAGGGAGGGGGCGGGACACGGGGCGAGGCGAGGTTGGATGGACAGCAAAGAGAACCAACTGGAAGGCAGGGGCTCAGGAACCACAGAACAGAGGCTGGGGCAGCAGGCAGGTGGGAAGCCGGAATATCAGCGCTGGCGTGGGCGACGGTGGGAGGAAGGCCTTGGAGATGATTCTAGGACAAGTTCCTACCATGCAGCTCACGAGGGGAAGCCTTGCTACACTGTCCATGCATTTCAGCTGCATGAAATAGATCTCCGTGAAGAAGGCAAGCGTGAAAACACAAATCGCAGCCTCTGGAGCTTTGGCTCCGTACACTTAACACCGTCACCTTGATAGAAAATGAGCTCTTACAAAGCGTGCTGCCGAGGATGACTACTCGGTGGAAACATCCAAGTGAATTACTTTGATAAATTTCATCTTTTCCGTGTGCCGTATAGACACCGGCATACCTGGAGAAAATACAAGATTACTTTTCCCCAAAGAAAAACCCAATAATAAAAAGCCATTAACCTGTGTCCTTTAAAAGTCTGAAATTACTGAAGAGCAAAGCTGTTTCCTTTCTTCCTCTAATGTGAATATCTCGGGCGGTCACCCGAACCCATCTGGCCACTCAAAATTGTCATGGTCTAAAAAGGAATAAGCAAAGAAACAAAAATAATCTGTTTGCCAATTTAAGAGTTAGGAATGGCAAAACATTTGGGATGAGGAAAGGAAGAAGAGAGACTTTTTCAAAGAAGTGCTTTAGAAATTATATTTTGGGAGATGTTTTAAAAACCAGCTTGGTACATTTCTATTTTAAAATTAATGGCATATACTTGATCAAAAATGCTAAAATGCTATTTCCAGCAAATTGCACAGATAATTAAATCTAATTTCAATGATGTTTGAAATAATGGCAATAAATCTTTATGGGTTCTTGCATCCAATCCATACTGAAAATTCATTTAAATTTTATTCTAATATAGATTTTTCTCAATGTGGTGATGTTTCATGAGTTTATTTAACTAAGGCCATGTCTACACAGCCAAACACCATGAACAGGAAAAAAAAGAAAATTATTTGGCTAACTCAAATATTTTAAAAATTGCCCTATTTATACATCATACTGCTTCAATTCTTCAGTTTTTCCTTTGGTGGCTTCCATATCTATATTGTCAATTCCCATTCCTCAAGTTTCAGAATGAATAGATTCTAATTCTCTCCCACACGATGTGAACCGAAAGTTACAATAATAGATACATCATTTAACAAACTACTCTGAAAATCTAACTGAGGGTAGATTGGGACGGTACTAGACAGTTGTTAGTTTAAATGGGTCCCTGAACAAACGGATGGTGAAAAATATCGTTGTCCAGAGCTCAACATAGCTCTTAAGCCCGAACTGCCACAAAAATAACACTTTGTAGAGAAATTCATTTCCATTCTTCCTTTTGACCCTCTCAGCCATGCTAAGAGGTAGGTCAAGCAGCTAAGGTTTGTGTGAAGATGAAGTCGTTTCCCACAGACACCTGTTGAGTGGAAGAATTCCTACTGGAACCCCTGTTTTCTGAATCTAGGACCTCACTGCACTCAGCGTAAAATGAAGAGCCTTATAGCAGAACTATTTACTCCCCTCCTTGCCCCCACCACTTGCAAAAAAATTAAGTGTGTTCCTACTATCTAGCCAGTTAGCTGAAATTCTCTTTAGACAGAAACTTCTATGGTGCTGCCCGTCTTTTACATTTTATTCCAGGGGTCAGCAAACTTGTTCTGTAAAGGGCCACATTGAAAACATGCTAGAGAAGCCTTGTGCGGTGGCTCACACGCCTGTAATCCCAACACTTTGGGAGGCCAAGGTGGGTGGATCACCTGAGGTCAGGAGTGCAAGACCAGCCTGGCCAACAAGGTGAAACCTTGTCTCTACTAAAAATACAAAATTAGATGGGCATGGTGGCAGGCATCTGTAATCCCAGCTACTCGGGAGGCTGAGGCAGGAGAATCGCTTGAACCCAGGAGGTGGAGGTTGCAGTGAGCTGAGATCGTGCCATTGCACTCCAGCCTGGGCAACAAGAGCGAATCTCCATCTCAAAAAAAAAAAAGGAAGGAAGGAAGGAAGAAAGGAGAGAGAGAGAGACAGAAAAGAAAGAAAGAAAAGAAAGAAAGAAAGAAAGAAAGAAAGAAAGAAAGAAAGAAAGAAAGAAAGAAAGGAAAGAAAACATGCTAGAGTTTGCAGGCTGTATGTAAGGTCTCTGTGGCAACCACTCAACTCTGCCATTGTAGCCCAGAAGCAGCCACAGACAACACATGCATAAACTTGTGTAGTTGTATTCTAAATAAAACTTTATTCATAAAAATATGCAGTGGGCTAGATTTGGCCCACGTCCTGTAGTTTGCCAACCCCTGCTTCTTGTGGTGCACAGAGACACAGAATGTGGATGTTGTCACCTAGGCCACACTCATAACAAAATGTTGTATGGTGTGTGGTGAGGTCTGTGTAATGAGTGAAATATTTATGCTCTTACGTTTATAGTTCAACTCCTACATACTTCCAAGAAAAGATTTAGAAAGGCTTATGGTAAGTTCCCATTTCCAAGTGCACAAAAGCTACTTGAAGCGATCTGAAATTTCTCAAGGAAAGTGGGAAAATACATGAAAATCCATATTGTTATTTTTTCCCCAAATATGCAGAGGTTGCGTGGGATTAACTTTAAACTGGGGTTGAATTAAGTACTATCTTTGGCCCTTGTGGTGGACCAAGCACAGAGGTTACATACTTATTCTTTAGGAACATGAAATCCTTCCTGGCACCATATTTCAAGAAGTTAATCCCAGATGTCCCAACATAAAGAACATTGTTGTGGGTGGACCATATCTGTAGCTGAGGTGCTACCAAACACGGAAATACCCCAGGATATAATATTGAATTTCAGTCAAGGCTATAATTGCTATGAAGAGTCAAGCTAACATAGACCAAGTCCATTGCTCTCTGCTCTAAAGGTGCTCCTAGGTCACAAAGGCAGAATCTAGGGGGTTCACGTCTTTCTCAGGTCCCCATTTCAAAACCTGAGTCATCTCATGAAAGAGACTGAGACAAGGAGTATGGGAAGTGAAATGCAAAATTTACATTAACTTTTCAGATCCACCACCAGACTCCAGAGGCAGACAGCACTGTGCTGGGGTGAAGAGCACAGGTTCAAAAGTCAGAACATCTGAGTGCAAATTCCAGTTTCCTTGGAAAGCCTTGAGGAAGTCACGTTACCTCTCTAAGACTTACCTCACCAGTTTGTAAAATGGGGACAATGGTAGCACCTCACGGGGGGCTACTGGGATTATGTAATCCCCGTGAAGCTCCCTCTGTACTGTGAGCGATTGGGTCCCATCGCCACAGCCTGTCAAGGCTGCCTGGACTCCCGGCTCCTCGGCCATCCCAGGAGCCCCTGAGAGTGGTCCCTTCTCCTTAACATCTTCCATGGCACTCACTGCTTCCAACGATCGTGGAGACACTGTCCCCCTTCAGTAGATAATCATCTGGTGCTTCCAAGTATCCAGATTTGGGGCAGTGTCACCTTCTCACTCCACTCTATGCCTCTCTCACTCAGGGACTTCCTGGAGCGCTCCTGAGACTGGAAGGGCCACCCGACCTGCACACCCACGTGGCATTGGCCGGTCCATGTTTATCCAGCAACTCCCGGTTCCCATCCGTAGAGGTACAGCACATTTGACATTAGAAAAAGATGCAATCACATCTGAATTATTTTCCATGTTGAAAGAGAAGTTAAATAATTCATAACGAAACCACTGGTGTTTGAACAAACGTTATTTGTTGATGTCCAGTGTTGTCTGTGGTGATCATAAATTTGCATTCCTAGCACCTAAGCTATTTATGATTTCTTTACAAATATCAGATTCTTATAGAACACTGCATTTTTAAATGACTTTCAGCCTCAACACAAAACCACTTTTTTAAATATGTATTTCATCACCCACATTACTTAATGTCTTTATGTTTAATTGTTTAATTCAGAAAGTGTTTATTGACTGCCTGCGCTGTTCCAGGTCCCTATCTTCAACAAGCTTAAATCCTGGTCAGGGGCTCTGAAAGGAGTCCAGACGATATTCTCCCATGCAGAGCAGGGAAGCCAGGCAGAATGTGTGGATGGGAAAGGTTTTCCACGCAACCTGCAGGGTGAAAGCCCAGCTCTCAACCTTTTCTTGCTGGGAGAACGTGAGCAAGTGACTTAATCTCTTCTGTTTTGTTTCCTCACCTGTACGGAGTTTGTGAGGATGCCTGCCATGCAGGACTGACCGCGGTCAAGACTAAATGTGAGCATCACTCAACATGCCTGACTCGATAGAGTCTATCTGTGGAAAAAATAATTACAATTAACAAAAGGCCATAGGGTGGAAAGATCATAAGACACACACAATCTTAAAAAGTCATTGTCTCTGTGATTGTATCATTTAATTCTTCAGAACCAAAATAGAAACTCTGATTATCATAGTTACGTAAAAATTTGACTGTAACATCTTGCTTGTAAATCTGAAGTCAGTCATTCATACACACACTCGCTCACACAACTATGAAGAGGTACATTCTCCCCAGCCCAGAGCCTCCCAGAGTAATTGCGCATTTGAAAACAGGAGCTGATGCAAATGTCCCCGATGCATCGCGGGGCTCGCAGCCTTTGTATTGATTTGCCTTCGTATTTCAAGCTGCAGGCAAGAGCAGGACAGTACCCTGGAGGCAACGACCGGGGGGCTTCTGTCCACCTGCAGAGGTCTGGGAATAACAGGGCCTCCCGTCCCACACCGACCCTGCCTCCCTGGCGCTTCCACCCTCTTCTGGCCTCAGTTCCTCATCCCTGGGGATAAGCGGCTGCCTGATAGCTACACATACCGGGGAGCGAGGGGCTGTCATCTTTTCTCAGGTCTCTCTGCCAGACCACCCGCACATCTTTCCCGTGTTCAGTCTCCACTCCCCCACACTCCCTGACTTCTCACTAGGCCTTACCTCGGCCGTTCCCATCCAGCTTCAGTTAGGATCCCGGACTCCTCGATGTCCTTTGTGTGGCCAGGAAATGTCTGTGAGATGTTAACCACTGCACACACACTCTCTCACTCACATGCATACGCACTCACTAACACACATAGACACCCACTAACACACATACACGCTCACATGCATACACACACTCGCTCATAAACTCAGTCTTACACTCACACGCATACACACTCACACTCATACACTCAGTCTTACACACACATTCACGCTCATACACCCAGTCACTCATTCATACACACACTCACACTCACTTTCACATACTCATTCACACTCTCATTTGCTCAAACTCCACTCACACTCACACTCAGTCTTACACACACACAGTCACTGTCATTCATACATACACTCACTTTCACACAGTCATCCACACTCTCATTCGCTCACACTCACTCCTACTCAGTTGTACATGCAGGTGCACACAGTCACACACTGGTTCACACAGGCACACACGGCTATTTCAAGCCCCCCAGAACACTCCGCCACCAACACCGACCCCCGACAGCCAACAGTTCCAGGGAAATCTTCAGCCTTCAGGGAGGCACACACTCCTTGGCCTTTGAGTTTGAAAGCATGGCCTTGAAGGACACTGAAAGCACCTAGGGCCAGCACAAAAGCCTTTGGAGAAATCTGTGAGGGCTCAGAGTGATGCTTTCCATCACCATCCAGAAAGTGACTTGCTGAGAAGAAAAATCGAAGGGAGGTGGAGCTTCAGGGCAGGCATCTGAGAAGGGGTCCTTCTCCTCCACCCACCACAGGGGGCAGGAGAGGGGATTCCTCCGCAGGCCAGGGAGGCGTCTGTGACCCAGGGTATGAAGACCCGTACCTTTCCTGCACAGGTAGAGCTCTGGAAAGATGCCAACCCTAAGGAGAAAGGGCTGCATGGCAAGTCTGGGCAAGCAGCACCTGGACCAGCCTCGGGGACCTGCCAGAGCCGCAGCAACTTCCAGAGCAGCAGGACCAGCCCCAACTACCTCCGTCTCATGGAGATGACAGCCCCAGGGCCTCACAAACAGAGGCGGGTGACTCATCCTCAGACCCCGGGGACCCAGCAGAGCAGAGAACATTTCGGCAGGTGCAAGCGTGGACGTGATAGCCAAGGAGCAAACACTGCTCCCAGTGCTTCCTCCCTGAAGTAGCTCTCCCCCACCCTCCCTGAAACTCAGGTGCAGCTTAGCAAACAGCAGTAGAGAGAGTCAAACTGAGGCTTAGAAACGTGGAAATTATGTAACTGGTTTTTGAAAAACTCAGTAGCTTACTTTTCTTGATCACCCGAGCTTGTGATCCGAAAGTCAAAGCTACTGCATCTACCCCTTTGTCACTCACTCTTCGGAAAGCAGGAAGCACAGAGGCTAATGAGCAGAGAACACAGCGGGATGGGACAGTTGCCTCCAGATATGCAGTCTGCTGACCGCCCAGGACTTCGGAAACCAGCAACGTTATAGCTTTTCCCAGCGCCTGCTCAAAAGGCCTGGGAGTGGAAAGCAGTTTGCTGTTTCTGATGACCAGTTATTAATAATTTATTCAATGTATTGTTAGATCATAGGCTCAGCCTGGAGTCCCTCAAAGGGCTCACCCGCTCCCTTCTTCCCTCTTCCATAACTTTCACGAGCATACTTTTGCCCAAAATATCCTTTTGGCCCTTCCAAAAAATGATATGAACTCACTTCAAATTTCTCCGCTTAAGCACATTAATGTACTGAGATTTGTGGAAAGTTTTCTTGCTAGTGCAGACTGATCACAGCTACGCAGGTACACAGATATCGCCTGTGGTCAGCAGCCTCTACGATGACTCCCAATGATCCCCAAACCCTGGTGTTCACCTCCTGTGCAATCGCCTCCCCTCAAGCATGGACTGGACCTAGTAACTGGCTTCTAATGAATGGAACACAGCAAAAGTGATGGATGTCACTTCTGAGGTTAAGTTACAAAGAGGCAGAGGCTTTGTCTTCCATGCCTTTTCCCTCTCCCTCTCTTCTTGCTCATTCTGAAAGATTCTATTAGTCCATTTTCATACTGCTATAAAGAAATAACCAAGACTTGGTAATTTATAAAGAAAAAGAGGTTTAATGGACTCATAGTTCCGCATAGCTGGGGAGGCCTCACAATCATAGCATAAGGCAAATGAGGAGCAAAGGCATGTCTTGCATGGCAGCAGGCAAGAGAGTGTGTGTAGGGGAACTGCCCTTTATAAAACCATCAGATCTCATGAGACTTGTTCACTACCACAAGAACAGCACAGAAAAACCCACCCCCATGATTCAGTTACCTCCCACCAGGTCCCTCCCATGACACATGGGGATTATGGGAGCTACAATTCAAGATGAGATTTGGGTGGGGACACAGCCAAACCATATCAGAGATGCTGGCTGCCATGGTGTCAGCTGCCTTGTGGAGAGGCCCACCCGGCAAGGAGCTGAGGCTAGCCTCCAGATAATAGCCAGTGAGGAGCTACCTCCTGCTGACAACCACATAAGTGAGCTTGGAGAGAGATGCTTTCCCTGTTGAGCCTTCCGATGAGACTGCAGCCCCAGCTGACACCTTGGCTGCAGCCCCCTGGGAGACTCAGAGATAGGTAGCCAGCTAAGCTGAGATAAGAAAGCTTTGTTATTTAAAACCATTAAACTTAGGAGTCATTTCTTATATAGTAATAGATAACTAAGACATCACCTATGTACTATGTTCTTGAGAAATGGAATTTCAGATTTTTCCTAAGTTAGGGAAGAATTGCCTTTTATTTATTCATTTAATTTCTACTCAGTTAGAAATTTTATGAGCTGTTCATTAAAAAATAAAAAGCTAAATGTAGCCTCTACCATTGAAATCACCTTTTTCATTTTCTACCCTGCTTATAAGCAGGACCTTAACACAGTCTCCTTGCATTTTAAGATTTTATCATTTTTTAATTCTTAAAATGAAAGAAAAAAGAAAACAAAAGTTGGAGATATTTTCTTGCATGTACTATTGATGTTCTTTATACAGAAACCAACATCTTCCCTCAATCTCAATTTCTGGCCTCTTGCTCTATCAAGTGTTGCAAAATTACATTTTTCCCTACATTACCTGGAAAGATTGTTCCTTTTCATATCTTATGCACTAGCTGTTCTGACAGAGCAATCTCTGTGAAAAATATAAAGAACCCGTTATTTGGTTAAATTAATGCTTCCATTATAATGGGTATATTATGGGATCATGACATTTTTTCTCATTCCTGCCCCACTGGGAGGCTACACTGAGCGCCACCAAACATCTCAGCCAATTTTAGCCCTGAGTGAAAACTTTGCTCTAAGCAACCTCTGCAATATTAGCCATAGGGAGCGGTTGCTTTCTGCAAATAGAAGATAAGTTTTAAGAAGTGCTCGTAAAGAAGGCTTGGAATCAGACTTTGTCTCCACATGCAAAACAACGTGGAAACCCGAGGCAACCATCCCGACAGCTCAAGCCCTCCCAAAATCTGCTTTTGCTGGAAATATCTTGATAATTTATATAAAAATATGGAGGAGTGAGTTTTCCTGTGTGAGAAACAGGACACTCTGTCTGGCTCCCATGACTTTACCCAGCTGCATGTGATCTCTGCAGGGAGGCTGGGTCCCCCCCTCTGCCCACAATGCCCTTTGAGGCCCTTCCCCTTCTATAAACAGCTCCCCTCCCTGCTGGCTTGATTTTCCTCGAAGCATCCATCCCTTCCTGAGAGGAGATGTGCACTGCTTCATTTGCACCTTTCTTCTGCTGGAATATAAACTCCAGGAGGGCAGGGACCGTGTCTCCTTCACATGAGAATGGCAGACTCCAAGCAGCCACATGGCAATAATGGTTGAATAAATGAACGCGTGCAGTTAATCAGGTTACTGAAAGAGAAACAAAAAGGGAACCATCTTTTTAAAAAGCCCCTGGCGGCCGGGCGCCGTGGCTCACGTCTGTAATCCCAGCACTTTGGGAGGCCGACGCGGGCGGATTACGAGGTCAAGAGATGGAGACCATCCTGGCCAACACGGTGAAACCCTGTCTCTACTAAAATACAAAAAATCAGCCGGGCGTCGTGGCGCGCGCCTGTAATCCCAGCTGAGGCAGGGGAATCTCTTGAACCCGGGAGGCGGAGGTTGCAGTGAGCTGAGATCGCGCCACTGCACTCCAGCCGGGGCGACAGAGCAAGACTCTGTCTCAAAATAATAATAATAAATAAAATAAAATACATAAAAATAAAAATAAAAAGGCCCTGGCATCGTGCACCAGCGGCCAAAGTCACTAGAATATGAGAAGACAAAACATGCAAAGAAAGTGGGAACATGGATAGAAAAAAATAAGTTCATTCTACGATGCAAGGCATTGTACCTTCATGGATTTGTTTCGAGGAGCAGTGACTGATCGTTTGGGGGTCTGTTGCTCAGTCCCCTGCACCCCAGCCCCTCCAAGAGAGTGTCGCCTCCAGTGAGACCAAGGAAGCTGGGCGCACCGTGCGGGGCTGGTGACCCCTCCCGTCTAAGCATTTTTAGAAGGCAGGGCTGGGAGCCCCCGAGACAAATGCGCGACTGAGGAAAATGCACCTCCAGGGCCCCACGAGGTGGTGATGACTTGCTGCCTGCAGGATAACGGGAAGCCTCGGCCGCTAGCGCAGCGGCCGCCCCCAGGGAAGGGACCAGAGCCCCGGGGCGAGGAGGACAGGGGCCCAGGGGAGAGGAGGATGGGGACCCCCGAGAGAGGAGGACGGGGCCCCGGGGAGAGGAGAATGGAGCCCCCGGGAGAGGAGGATGGAGGCCCGAGGAGAGAAGGACGGGGGGCCCGGAGAGAGGAGGATGGGGGCCGCGCCTCGCCCCCAGGCCCCCAGGAGCGCGGGGTCCACTAGGACCCATCTGCCGCCTCCCGCCCGGCAGAGGCCGCCTGACTCGCGAGGACGGAGGAAACCGAGGGGCTCGACATGAGCCCTCTGAGCAGTTACCCGGCTGCGCCCAACAGCCCTGGCTCCCCCTCCCACGAGACCCGGAGTCCGCTGTGGCAGGACCCAACGCCGAGCCTGGACCGTGGCAGGCGCTGGCGTCAGTTCTCTATTGCTGCTACAAAAATGCACCACAGATGTCGTGGCTTAGGCCGTCTTACCGCTCTGGAGGTCGGAAGTCCGACGCTCAGCTCACGGAGGAAAGGCGCACTCATCTGTGTGCTTGGCCTGGACCGGCTGCGGCCCTAATACGGCGAGTGCTGCCTGGGCCTCAGCAGTGGAAAAGCACGAGGAGCCCCCGCGACCTTCCGCGCGGTCCTGATTCTCCTCCGCGGTCGGATTTAGGTTCAGCGCTTTGCCCTGACTTGCTTGCCGGCATTCCCAAGTGTCAGCACGTCCTGCCCAGTCCCTTGTCCCGACCCCAAACCTCCCCTTTCTCCTTCAGTGCCCACTGACAAAACCAAGTCCAACCAGTTCGCAGCAGGAGCGCCCATAACCAGCAAGCAGGGGTCCTGACCTCGCACAAGTCAAAGGGCTGCTCCTGACCTCCAGGAGGACCCGGGGGCACGGCCAGGCAGCCAGACCCTTTGGACAGATGCTTAGGGTAACCTCTCATCGGATTGCGCTGACCATAAGTCAATTAAGTTGGCCACAAGAAGAAGGAATTGATTGGAAAGCAGTTACCTTGTGTCTACATGATGTCAAAACAACCGGTGGGGAACAAAAATTCTTAATATGTAATGCAATTTACAGGAGTAAGAAGGAAGTCTGATAAACAATTTCAAACACCAGTTCTTCTCCACCGAATGCCATGATTTCTTTTTCACTGAGTTCAGTGATTTTCTACCCTGCTTCCTCCCTCACCAGGTTGACAGCCTGTCACACAGCACTATTGGATAGGAACTGAGGTGAGGAGAAGACCTGGACTCTAAGCAGCTACCCTGTGGCGTCCAAGCACCTTGGCTTCGTCTCCCACGAGATCAGGAGTCCACTGTGGCAGAGCCTAGCGCGGGAGCCTGGAATGTGGAAGGTGCTGGTGTTGTTCCCTATTGCTGCTGCAAACGTGCGCCACAGATGCAATGGCTTATAACAGCACAGATTGGCTGTCTTACAGTTCTGGAGGTCAGATGTCTGACATACACCTCACTGGCTTAAACCCAAGGTGTGGGCAGGGCTACTTTCTTCCTGGAGGCCCTGGGGTAGACAAGTAGGCCCTGTTTCCTGCTTTGTCCAGCTTTCATGGGTTGCCCACATTCCTTGGCTCATGGCACCTCCACCTTCAGAGCCAGCAATGGCCATTCAAGTCTCTCTCCCATTATATCACCTGGACCCTGACTCTTCTGCCCCCCTTTTCCACATTTAAGGACCCTTTTGATTACACTGAGCCCACCCAGATAATCTAGAATAATCTTCCTATTTTAAAGTTGGCCGACTACCAACCTTAACTCCGTCTACAACAACCTTCATTTCCCTTTGCCACGTAGCCTAACCTGTTCCCAGGTTCTGGGGATTGGGATGAGGACCACTTGGGGGCCATTATTTTGCATGCCACAATGCTCAGCGTATAAGTGTTTAGTGAGTTTTGAGTCAATAATTCTGGATCATTTAAGACTTCAACAACTTTTTTAAAATCACACGGCCTCCGGGTAACTATTTTCATCCCCAAAGCATTTCATGTTTTAAAAAGAAAAGAAGCCATCCAAAATGTATATTGTCCATTTCTACACCACTGCCAAAGGTAAAGACTGTCAACTTTTGGATATGCTCAAAATATAATTGGCGGCCTGGCACCGGTGGCTCACACCTGTAATCCCAGCACTCTGGGAGGCCAAGGCAGGCAGATCACTTGAGGTCAGGAATTCAATACCAGTATGGTGAAACCCGTCTCTACAAAAAATACAAAAATTAACCAGGCGTAGTGGTGCACGCCTGTAATCCCAGCTACTCAGGAGGCTGAGGCACAAGAATCATTTGAACCCAGGAGGCAGAGGTTGCAGTGAGCCATGATCACGCCACTGCACTCCAACCTGGCAACAGAGCGAGACTCCATCTAAATATATATACACATATATTTATATATATGTGTATATATATTTATATATATGTATATATATTTATATATAAATATATTTATATATATTTTTATATATATGTATATATTTATATATTTATATATTTTTATATATGTATATATATTTATATATTTATATATTCATATATATTTATATATATTCATATATATTTTTATATATATGGCAATTAGCTTTACTATCAATAACCAAGTAATTGATGCATTAGACTAAGGGCACAGTATCGTCTAGTCCAGATTAATGTGGTTGAAAACACTATTGATTGGATTCTTCTCGGAGGTCACTTCACAGAAGCCATAAGAAGATATATTTTTAAATGCTGGTTTTGTTGATTCTGCTCCATAAGCTTTGGAAACTCTTAGATCTTTGGATTCAAGTACATGACAGACATGGCGTGCAGGGGAGAAGGTTTAGATAGAGTAGCAAAAGTTGTTTCTCCGGTGGAAAAAGCTGAATCCAATCAGATAATTTCCAAGTATCCACAACTTCCTTTCTTTCCTTCCAAAGTGGCATTTCTCCCTGCCAGAGGCAAATCCACTCTTGCTCCTGGGGCCCTGACAGGACTGATAGCAACTCCACCCCCATAGGACTGCTCCATGGAGTCAGGGTGCTGGGGTGCCTAAGAAGGCGCTGTTCATTTCAGGTCCCAGCAAGTGGAGAGCCTGGTTCTGGTCTCTCCCCAACGGGTTTCGAGGCTACACTGTCTCTTTAGTATCTCTGGGGCAGAAAAATCATTGCCAGAAGCGAGATTAGACAAGTGGGACAGGGTTCCTCCTCAGACACATCCTAACCCAGGGCAGGGCTGTGCTCAGGTGAGACTCTCACAGTGAAGGTGTGGCTCTCCAGATATCTACCTGGTGGATCCGACAGCAGCCACCCGCCCTGCACACGGAGTTCCAGGAGCAGCTGGGCAGGTTGCAACTTCTTTTTCAAGAACAGTGTGTGCAGCCTCCCCGTGGTTCTGCTGACTCCAGCACTCTCATTATTTTTTAACTTTTGGCATCCAGGCTAAGTAGCCAAACCCAGTTAGGACCCTTGCATTACAACTTTAAGTCACTTTATGAAGAGACGATATGGCCATGTCAGTAATTTGCTAGACATGTACAAAATATTTTCTATGAAGGCAGAATATTCAGAGTCATTATTGCTATGATTGGCCATTGTTTACTGTGTATGTCTATGTGTCAGGAAGTGTACTAGATGCTGTAAAAAACACATTCTCACATTTAATCATTATCACAACTACACGAGAAGGATTTCTTGTAAACGAAAACAGCAAATTTCAGAAAAGTGATGTCACTTTCCAGGTGGCTGCAATCCTGTCTTCAGTGTTCGAGTGTGGTGCTCCTTCTAATTACCTAAATGTCTACATTCTCATTGGTCTAATATGTTATTTTTAAAACCTAAAGTATGAATTGTTTATGTCATGAGATGTTCCAGAGTCTTACATGTTGTATTAAAGTTTTTCATCAGACCAAGATGTACTTCAGGAAGCGTGGTAACCGCAGTCTCCTTGTGAGAGCCTTCTGAAACAGAAGAATGACTTCTACTTCCAATTCCCCAGATTACAAGTGTGCTCAAGCCTCTTTTCTCTGGTTTATTATTTATTTACATTTACCCTAGAGGAGGATACACTTTCAGAAGTGGAGGGGGGCAGATTTTAAGGAAAAGAGTAGAAAAGTGGGGGACTCCCAGCCCTCCGAATTCCCAGCTCTGGAGCTGACTCCCCACTACCCCCAGGGCAGATGGCCTCTCTCCTCTCCTCCTCTCCTTTTCTCCCTCCTGAGTCAGATTTCTCTTGGAAGCCAGATCCCGCTCCCTTTAGCCAAATCACTTTAACAAGACCTCCAGGATATTGAAAGGCTGAGCCAGAAAGATGGGTGACTGTGTGCTGGATGCTGACCCTCTCTCAGGTGGAACACAGTGTGATGAGATACTACACAATATGATGTGAAATAAGTGCCAAAATATGGCACTGTCATCTCCCTCGGGGTTATAATCACTCAACATTACATATAGGTCACTCAGCACTACAACATTACAAATAGGACAGGGCCAAGGCTTTCTTGCAGGCGCCCATTGAGAAGAGCAGAGCTGCCCAGGCCCTGTCTTCCAGGCGCTGGTGCCGCTGTGAGCTGGCCTGGTGAGCTTTGGTGTTCTCTTGCTGAACAATTTCACAAGATGTCACATCACACATTTACCGACAAGGCCATTTTGTGACAGTATGGATCAAGACACGAACAAGATTATTCCTGATATGGTTTGGCTCTGTGTCCCCACCCAAATCTCATGTTGCACTGTGATCCCCGGTGTTGGAGGTGGGGCCTGGTGGGAGCTGACTGGACCATGGGGGTGGTTTCTAATGGTTAAGCACCATCAGCACAAGCAAAACACAGACATTGTCTGGGCCACAAAATAGCCAGCATTCCTGTGTCCAGGCTAATATGGGTGACGCCCAATTCTCTACATAATGATAGCCTTAGCCTGGTCTGGTCTTCCCTCCTGCAGAGATTTATTAAGATGCTCAGTCATGCAATCACCCCCACTTCCTGCAGCATCCTGCCCAGAGCAAAGCTCTGCCTTCTCAAGCCCCCTAGAATAACCCAGCCAAAGCCCAGGTCCCATCAGTCCTCTCTCACTCCCACTTACTGCAGTGCCTATGTTCCCACTGGTGTGTGTTCTCCCTCAAGAAAAAACCCAACTTGTCAACCGTGCTCCTGGTCGTCTTTGACTGGAGGGATTGACACCATGAAATATCAGTCATTAGATCTAATTGACAGTTGAGGAAGTCCAAGTTCTTTAAATAAAACTGGTAACTATGTAAATGTAAGGCTTCTGTTTTGATAGGCTATGTCATTCCCTGGGTCCCACCATCTCCTCACAGCCAAAGAAGGTAGCAGGAAAAAACAGGAATGAAAATTGTTTTCACCCTTAAGACTAAAGCGTGCTCTAAATTGTTTTGACCCTTAAGACTAAAGGAAAATGGGAAAGACATATGAAGAGACAGTTCCTTAGAAAGAGACGCAAGTGACACAGAAGAGAAGCTGCTCAACTTTGCTAAAAATAAGAGGACCACTGGTTGAAACTATACTGAGGTGCCATTTCTCATCAATTACATTAGCAGAAATCTCACAGCTTGACAACACACTGCAGACAAAGCTGGAGGGAGAGGCACTCATCCACTGCTGGTGGGAACGCAAAGGATAACACAGCCCCTGTAGAGGGGGTTCAGCAGGAGTTGACAGAATGACATCTGCATCACCTCTTTGATCCATCGGTCCCATATCTAGGAGCCTGTACCACAGGCACACTGGCAAAAACACAAAAGGACACCTTCACGAGGCCACTTACTTGGTACTGTCCATGATTATGAAGACTGTTAACTGAAATGTCCATTGATAGGGAGTCAAATATATTAAACCCTGATACAACAGAATACTATGTAGTTGTGAAAGGAAAAGCAAATTCTCTCTATGGCTATGCAGTGATCTACAAGATAGATTAAGTGAAAAATGAAGATGGAGGACAGTATTACCAGGATGTTACCATTTATGGAAAAAAAAAAAAAAAAAGGAAGACTGGGCGCACTGGCTCACGTCTGTAATCCCAACAGTTTGGGAGGCCAAGGCAGGCAGATCACCTTAGCTCAGGAGTTCGAGACCAGTTTGGGCAACATGGTGAAACCCTGTCTCTACTAAAAATACAAAAAAAATGAGCTGGGTGTGGTGGCACATGTCTGTAATCCCAGCTACTTAAGGGGCTGAGGCACGAGAATTGCTTGAACCTGGGAGGTGGAGGTTACAGTGAGCTGAGATCATACTACTGCGCTCCAGCCCGAGTGACAGAGCGAGACTCTGTCTCAAAAAAACAAAAAGGCGGGGGGGGGCGGTGAGGGGCGGGGAGTGAGGTAGGAATCCAGGAGACATGGGGGAGGAGTGAGGACAGGAGTTGGACCTCACTGAAGACACCTCTCCAAAGAGTGCTGGCTTTGAATCCATATCATGTTTTTCAAATTTTAAAGAGCAAAATTAAATTTTTTAAAAAGTGATCTTTCATAACACTGAAATCAAAAGAATATCCAACTGGTGTCATATCCACACAGAGAATAATTCTTATAATAACCTTAAAACACAATATTCTGATGGTATGTCCCTAATGGGATATATCCTAAAGCCAAAACACTTCAAAGCCATCCCAAAGTGCTGTCTCTATTTTTCACTAGTTGCAGTGTTAATATTGTCATTTTGAAACTCCATATATTAGGGATGAAAAAATAATAATTATATCAATGACAATAGGATAAATGTGTTCAGCGCAAGAAAAAAGACAAATAGTTATATTTCAATTATGTTACTTAATATCTGTGCTTATCCACAATTATTTCCATAGAAATATTTCTAAGAAGTGGCTGGGTGCGGTGGCTTGCCCTTGTAATCCCAGGACTTTGGGAGGCCGAGGTGGGCAGATCATGAGGTCAGGAGTTTAAGACCAGCCTGGCCAACACAGTGAAACCCCATCTCTACTAAAAAAATACAAAAATTAGCTGGGCGTGGTGGTGGGTGCCTGTAATCCTAGCTACTCGGGAGGCTGAGGCAGGAGAATCACTTGAACCCAGGAGGCAGACGTTGCAGTGAACCAAGATTGTGCCATTGCACTCCAGCCTGGGCAACAGAGCTAGACTCCGTTTCAAAATAAAAATTTATATATATATATATTTCTAATAGGTAAAATTGCTAGACCCAACAATATTTACATTTTTGTAAACATTGACAAAGTAGCCTACAGGAAGTTTATGATAAACATAAACACCAATACTGGTACATAAAAGTGTTCACTTCCTACAACTTCTTCCACACTGGGGACTGTGATCTTCCTCTACCGGTTGCCCACAAAATAGTTAAAAAATAGGAATACATGGCTACTTTCGTTGTTTTTTGTTTGTTTGTTTTTGTTTTTGTTTCTTTTTTTGAGATAGAGTCTCGCTCTGTCATCCAGGATGGAGTGCAGTGGTGTGATCTCGGCTCAGTGCAACCTCGGCCTCCCAGGTTCAAGCAATTCTCATGCCTCAGCCTCCTGAGTAGCTGGAATTACAGGCATGTGCCACCACACCCAGCTAATTTTTGTATTTTAGTAGAGACGGGGTTTCACCATGTTGGCCAGGTTGGTCCCGAACTCCTGGCCTCAGGTGATCTGCCCACCTCAGTCTCCCAAAGTGCTGGGATTACAGGTGTGAGCCACCACGCCCAGCCAGCTACTTTCATTTTGTGTCTTAGCTTGCTAGTGAAGCAGAGGGTTTTCCCTGAGCCTTTGGCCAGCTCAACACCTTGTGTGTGTGAATTGTCTGCTCAAACCTCTCACCACTGTCTCCTGTGCCTTCCGATTTTTGGATTTATTTTACCAATCTCATCCTGTGTTTTGGCCTTTATTGTAAGTTGCCCTAAATGCTTTTTTTTTTCTGCTTCTTTTTTTTTTTTTTGAGACGGAGTCTCGCTCTGTCACCCAGGCTGGAGTGCAGTGGCGTGATGTCGGCTCACTGCGAGCTCCGCCTCCCGGGTTCACGCCATTCTCCTGCCTCAGCCTCCCGAGTAGCTGGGACTACAGGCGCCTGCCACGATGCCCGGCTAATTTTTTGTATTTTTAGTAGAGACGGGGTTTCACTGTGTTAGCCAGGATGGTCTCAATCTCCTGACCTCATGATCTGCCCGCCTCGGCCTCCCGAACTGCTGGGATTACAAGCGTAAGCCACCGCGCCCGGCCAAGTTGCCCTAAATGCTTTTAAGAAACAGGCATTTTCTTAGATGGACAATAAATAAATAAGAAAAAATACTGAGTTAAATTAAAAAAAAAAAACCCTCCTGTGGGGAAGGGACTTTGAACACACAAAGATGACCCTATTGGGGTCATGCCCTCCAAGAAGTTTATGGTTCAGAAGGCGTGATAAGGCATGAGTATACAAACAACATCACAAGAAGTAAGAAAGGTCACAAGGAAGAGATCATGACAGGCTGAATGAATTCAGAGAAGGCAGAGGCCTCTGTTCACAGGGAGGGTAGAGTATGGGCTTAGAGGAAAAGGTGGCTGTTCACCTGCACTACGGAGTTCAGTAATATTCTGGTATGTGGATGCTGAGAAAAAGCACGTCACGTAGCACGTACACATGAATAAAAAATGAGGCTCCAACCATGGGTACAACTGAACAAGAGAAAACATTTCCACTGGCTGTGGTAAAAATGGGGAAATTATGGAAATTAAGGCTGCAGTTTCCCATTGAACTCAGACTATGTAGACCCATGAAGGGCAGGCTATGGAATTTGGAATCCATTGTGTATAAGTAACTGGTAAGGCTTTAACTGATTTTTTTCCTTTGGAGTGGAAGTGCTTTAACAAAAATTGTGCTTTGGGGCTGGGCGTGGTGGCTCACGCCTGTAATCCCAGCACTTTGGGAGTCTGAGGAGGGCAGATCACCTGAGGTTGAGAGTTCAAGACCAGCCTGGCCAACGTGGTGAAACCCCGTCTCTACTAAAAATACAAAATTAGCCAGGCATGGTGGCGCGCGCCTATAATCCCAGCTACTCAGGAGGCTAAGGCAACAGAATCACTCGAACCCGGGAGGTAGAGGTTGCAGTGAGCCAAGATCGTGCCACTGCACTCCAGCCTGGGCAACAGAGTGAGACTCTGTCTCAAAAAAAAAAAAAAAAAAAAAGTGCTTTTGAAGGACAAAGCTAGAGTGTGTAAGGGTTGAAGGAGGAGCACTTGGAGAAGGTCCACCCTGATGAGAAACTGCTGCCAAAGCCAGGTCAGAGGCAGTGAGGACCAGAAAAGGGACCAGTATGGGGAATGGAGGCAAAGGAGAAGGCACAAGAGATTCAATCCACAGCAAAGACAGGGCCAGCCCATGTGCAGAAGAGACGGTCAACGCTTTGATTCATGGTCTACATGGAAGGGTTAGCCTGGTGGAGAAGAAAGAACTCATCTCTTTCTGAGGTGTGAAGGAGGCATCGAAAGTGCATGAGGATATAACGAAAATGAACAACATCGAAGTTGGAAGAACTCAGATGGCCTCGAGTTTCTGCAAGTTTATTTGGTAAGGTAGGAGTTAAGACATCCTCTTCCAGAAACTGGATGTTCATGGAGGAGTTGGAGAAGAGTGGGGATTTTGGTGATACATTCTATGGGACCTTTGAGAAGAGGTCATTTTGGGGTTTTTTGTTTGTTTTTTGGGGTTTTTTTGGTTTTTTAAAATTTTTCTGAGGGGCGATCTCGGGTCACTGCAACCTCCACCTCCTGGGTTCAAGTGATTCCCCTACCTCAGCCCCCTGAGTAGCTGAGACTACAGGCATGAGCCACCATGCCCGGCTAATTTTTGTATTTTTAGTAGTGATGGGGTTTCAACATTGTTGGCCAGGCTGGTCTTGAACTCCTGACCTCGGGTGATCCACCCACCTCGACCTCCCAAAGTGCTAGGATTACAGTCGAGAGCCACTGCGCCTGGCCAAGAAGAGGTCATTTTGAAATGAGTCAAAGGTTGTCCCAGCAGCACTGAGGCAGGCAGGCCACGTCTTCCTGCAGGAATTTGGATTGTCAGCTCGTCTGTATGACAACTTCCTCAGCACCACGCAGCAGCAGGGAGAGAAAGCCACGGGAGATTGATGGGTTGGTTGGCAGTGTTAAAAGAAAAACTTTAGACAAATTAAATTTAACAGAGTTTAATTGAGCAAGGAATGATTCGCAAATCGGGCAACCCCCGAACCAGAATAGGGTCAGAGAGACTCTCGTGCTGCCACAGAGTGGGAGAGGATTTATGAACAGAGAAAGGAAAGTGATGCCCAGAAAACGGAAGTCAGGTGCAGACACAGCCGGATTAGTGACAGCTGGGCGTTTGCCTTGTTTGAGTGGTTGACCACCTGCGATTGGCCAAAACTCAGGGACTGGTACAAGAGTAGATTAATTACAGTCTGTTTACATGTCCACCTAAGTGATAGCTCACTATGTACAAAGAAACCTTTAGGCCCAACTTACAAGGAAGCAGCTCTAGGCTAAAGTTTTAACATCAGGAAGCAACGCGTTCATCCATTCAACAGTCACCTATGGAGCTCTTGGAAAAGGCGTCCTGGGGGTGGCAGCGCCATCCTGCCAGGTACATATACCAGGCTGAGGGGCCCATGGCACACCTGAGAGCAGTCTTGTCTACACACCCACGGGATGTGTAGAAAAGGAGGAAAAGGACTCAAGGGCACCACAAGGAGCACATTTGAAAGGTGGAGCAGAGGGTCCAGTGGTGGACAGGCCAGCGAGGAGCAAAGAGCCCAACGGATTGAGGAAGGGGCAGTGGAGATGGCGGGGCAGGGACACCAAGATGAGTGTGCTGCATCTGTGCTGCACAAAGTCACTCAGTCACGGGCCTAAATGGGGTGCAGATCCACCCTGTACCCCTGGTTGGGCTCTGGGCATATGTGGCTTTGTCCATTCTGGCTGCTGTAACTGAATAGGTCGTGGCTTATGAACACCAGAAACTTACTTCTCACAGTCAGGGGACTGGAAGTTCAAGATCAGGGTGCCAGCATGATTGGGGTCTGGTGAGAGCCCACATCCTGGTTCATAGAAGGCCATTTTGTCACTGTGTCCTCACATGTCAGAAAGAGGGCCAGGGAGCTCTCTGGAGGCTCTCGTATAAACTCCCTGATGAAGCTTCATGACCTGGTCACCTCCCAAAAGTGATCCCTAAAACCATCCTAATACCATCACCTGGGGGGGTTAGGATTTCAATATGTGTATTTTGTGGGGACACAAACATTCAGTCCAAAACAATATGGGTGATATGGTTTGGACTTGTGTCCTTGCTCAAATCTCATATGGAATTGGAGGAGGGGCCTAGTGGGGGTTGATTGGACCATGGGGTGGATTTCCCCCTTGCTGTTCTTGTGATAGTGAGGAGTTCTCACGAGAACTGATGGTTAAAAGTGTGTGGCACTTCTCCCTTCACTCTCTCTCACTCTCTCTCTCTCTCTCTCCTGCCCCCACGTGAAGGTGCTTGCTTCCCCTTCGCCTTCCGCCATGATTGTTAGTTTTCTGAGGCCTCCCAGCCATGCTTCCTGTACAGCCTGTGAAACTGTGAGTCAACTAAACCTCTTTTCTTCGTAAATTACCCAGTCTCCGTGGGTAATTAGCAGTGTGAGAACGGACTATTACAACGGGTCTATGACCACCCAGAGCAGGAAGCATTTTGCAGTTCACCCATCCAAAATGGGCATGGCTTTTCTAATGTGCAGGAAAGCACTAGGTTGAGCTGAAGGCCACAGTGAGAACCGGAACTGCATGGGAAAGAGCAGAGGAAGTTGAGAGCGGAGAAAATGTCAGTCTTCCAGACTCAGGGGTAGCACAAACTGAGCAGAACTGGAGGGAAGCAGAGAAGAAAATAAAATGAGCAAAGGACTTAGAATAGGAATCAGCTAATTAATGTATTAGGGAAACTGAAGAAAAATCGAATGGAGGAAGATAGAAAACAGACGCGCGTAAGGAAGTTGCGTTCTTACTCCGTGTGGGGAATATGGAAGTTGCTTCCTCCTTGTCGCACTGAAGAGCGTCGCCTGAGGCTGCAGATCTTCATCCTGAGGCTGCAGATCTTCATCCTGAGGCTGCAGATCTTCATCCGACCGTGCTTCATCCTCTGCTCTGGCAGCTCGCGGCAGCTCCAGGTTAAAGCTCTCAGCTTTAGCCACTAACGGTAAAAATCTTTTCAAGCATTTGGCTCTGGTCACCCCAAGCAGTAAAGCAAATCACTTTCTTGGGTCGTTTCTTTTTTATTTGTGTGTGTCATGAACATGAAATACATGATGTTACAACAACAATATGATTGATGACTTAATGGGCTGAACTTAAATTTAAGTAATATTTCCATTAATCTAAAAGCTCTGTCTTAAAAGTCTGTAAAATTAATTTATTGGAAAAAATTTATCCTAACTCTACCAGAAAATGTCCTCTGAATAATAATGCCCTAGATTTTGTAGCTTTTTCTTCCTTTTTGATCAACTCATGCTTTCTTCCTGCAGATGTGTTGTCAAAGATGGACCAAAAAATCTCAACACCTAAAGTTCAAGATACGCGTCTATAAACCTTGAAAACGCACGGGGGCGTTTGGAGAAAGGCAGAACACCGGAAAGATAATGCGATACACAAGAGATTGATTGGAGACGTTTCCAAAAAGGAAAGGCAGGCCATTCCTCTCTGGCCAAGGCTTGGAGACTGTGGGTACCAGAAGAGAGCCGTATGCCTGGAATGGAGCAAGGACAAACAGTCATAGGTCTCAGCCCTGCCCATTTAAACTAATCATTCTACTCTATAGACACATGCACGTGAATGTTCACTGCAGCACTGTTCTCAGTAGCAAAGACATGGAATCAACTTAAATGCCCGTCAATGACAGATTGGATAACAAAAATGTGGTACATATACACCATGGGATACTATGCAGCCATAACAAGCAATGAGGTCATTCTTCTGCAGGAACATGGATGGAGCTGGAGGCCATCGTCTTTAGCAAACTGACATAGGAACAGAAAACCAAATACCGCATGTTCTCACTTACACGTGGGAGTTAAATGATGAGAACTCATGGACACAAAGAGGGGAACAACAGACACGGGGGCCCATCAGAGAGTGGAGGGTGGAGGGAGAGGAGCAGAAAGAAGAACTATTGGGTACTAGGCTCAGTACCTGGGTGATGAAATAATCTGTACAACAAACCCCCGTGACATGAGTTTACCTGTGTAAGAAACCTGCATATGTACCCTTGAACCTAAAAGTAAAAAAATAATAAAAATAAAATCAATAAATGTTCATTAAAGTTGATCGCAGCCTGGGGCTACTGTAACAAATGACCACGAACTGGGGTCTTGAAACAACAGAAATTTATCCTCTCACAGTTCTGGAGGCCAGAAACCTGAAATCGCGGTGCCAGCCGGGCCACACTTCCTCCAAAGGCTCTGGGGAGGATCTGCCCTTGCCTCTCCCAGCTTCTAGCGGCTCCAGGTGTTCCTGGCTGCTGGCTGCTTCCCTCCAGTCTCCACCTCCATCATCACAAGGCCTCTGCTTCTGTGTGAGTGTCTCCTGCTCTCCTGTCTGTTCTAAGAACACTTGACACTGCATTTAGGGCCTGCCTGAATAATCTAGGAAGATCTTGTCAGAAAATCGTTAACTAATTACATCTGCAAAGAAAGATCCTTTTTCCAAATAAGACCACATTCACAGGATCTAGGGGTTAGGATGTGAACATATCTTTTTTGGGGGCGGGGATGGAGTCTGGCTCTGTCGCCCATGCTGGAGTGTAGTGGCATGATCCCGGCCCACTGCAGCCTCCACCTCCCGGGTTCAAGTGATTCTCCTGCCTCAGCCTCCTGTGTAACTGGGATTACAGGTGCACATCACCACACCTGGCTAATTTTTTTGTATTTTTAGTAGAAACAGGGTTTCACCATGTTGGCCAGGCTGGTCTTGAACTCCTGACGTCAAGTGATCTGCCCGCCTCAGACTTCCACGGACACATCTTTTGGAGGGCCACCTTTCAGCAGGAAGAAAGCACACAGAGAACCTCATCTTCTCCACCTCTCTCCAAACACATTGACATAAGAGATTAAATATCTTACACATATTTTAAAGTACACAGGCTCACTCAAAACAAGAACCTCACTATGAGCCCAAACAGATTGAGGTCAAGACCACAGAGCTCTCTGGGAGTCAGGAGCAGATCAAGGTTGGCACAACCCATCCTGAAGGAGTGTCCGTGCCTCCTGCTCCTCAGAGCAACCAAAATCTCTCCACCAACCAGAAACCATGAAACAGCCCCGAAAGGAAGCTGAGAGAGATGCACACAGGAGGAAACTCCAAAAACTACAAGCTCTCAAACAGAAGTAACAGACAGCGCAAGGAAATTCAGCCGATGGAAGAAACCCACATGAGACAGACCAAAGAAATAGGAGCTCATTTCTTTGAGCTCATTCCACTCCAGGAGACAGTGGAGTAACACATGCATGGTGCTGGGGAAAAAGAGCTTCTCACTGAGCAGGCCACGCCCACCTGATTTCTTATTCAAGATGGAGCTGAGATTAAGGCACTTTCAGACATATGCAGACAAGAACTACTACCCGTAGGAACCTTTGCTGAATGAAATGCTCAAGGACATACCTAACAAAGCAAAAAATGAACCCCAGCAATGGGGTCAGAAATCAATAAACCTTGGCAAATCTAAGCAGGAACTTGAGATGATATATACCTATACTCAAAAAAGTCTGCGTGTCTATGTCGATTTGCATCTAAAATTCTAGAAAACAATATGAGATTCAAGGTGATATTAGAGTGGTAAAGTGTGTGTGTGTGTGTGTGTGTGTGTGTATTTTTCTGTAAGGGAAATCATAGCTTCCATGAGAATCTCAAAGGGGTCCGTGACCCCAGAAGAAAGCTAAAGGCCATTGTCCCAGTGACTCTGGGATCAGGCACAACACAGAAAAGCTCCAGGCCTTTCGGAGCCTCCCTACATCCAGGAGATACACTCCTTTTCACTCCCTTTTTCTCATGGTGTTCCAGGCTCGGGGCCATCAAACTCTCAGCGGTGGAGGCTGAGCTGAGCAGTCAGAGACGGGGCCCACCCTAATATCCTGCACCTGCAACAGGGAAAATGATGATGTCTTTCAACCCAGCCAATCTTAGGCTGATCACAGCCTAAGCCCAAGCCCTAAAAGAAGCTCAAAATGAAAAAAATTAGCCCAACACAAATTGTTTTATCTAGCTCTTTTCAAACAGGTGGTATGATTTGCCTTTTGAAGTAACATCATAGATGTTTTTGCCCAAAACAATTCTCAGCTTTGGTGTCCTGAAGCCAAAACATGTGTATCCCAATTACGGTAAAACAAAGTCGGTAAATAGAGACTGAAAGGCCCTCTGTAGAACACACACTGTCTGCTTCAGGGATTCGCTCACTCCTGTGAATCAAATGGAAAAATATTAAAACTGCCATTGTTCAACAACATCATCATCCTAGGGCTAGCTTTCTCCAGCAAGAAAGCAGCTATTAAGTAAGTTAAACTATGCAAATTACCAGTTTAATTTATTTCTCATTGAACTGATCAATTTTTTTTTTCATGGAACTGTAAGACATGGTAAGTTTGACAGGGTAGATTATTGTTCAGTAAACATTCTCTTCCTCCTTCCACTGAGGGAGCATATACTTCTTTGGTCCTTTGAAAAAGGCTCTGCCATGAGCATAGCTTGGCGTAGTGAATTTAGTGAGCATGAGGCAGCAGGCGCCTGGCATGTGATCCACTCATCCACCGTGAGAAGAGCAAGACCCCAGGTGGCTGCTGCCTTCAGCTGCTCAGCCCCACCCAGCCTATGTCAGCCAGCCTGGGTAACCTGCAGTCCAGACAGTGTGAGAATGAAGCAATTGAGTTTGGGGAGGCTTATTGTGTCTCTTTATTACATCTGGGTGTGTCTTAGTCTGTCTTGTGTTCCTATAAAAGAATACCTGAGGCTGGGAAATTTATAAAGAAAAAAGATTTATTTGGCTCACAATTCTGATGGTTGAAAAATTCAAAACTGAGCATTTGCATCTGGTGAGGGCCTCAGGCTGCTTCTACTCATGGCTGAAGGCAGAAGGGAGCCAGTATGTGCAGAGATCACACGGTGAGAGAGAAAGCCAGAGAGAGAGGGGAGAGGGACCAGGCTCTCTTTAATTAGCAGGTCCCAAGGAAACTAAGAGTGAGAACTCAGCCACAGTGGGGGCATTATTCTTATTCATGAGGGATCTACCCCCATGACTCAGTCACCTCCCATTAGGCCCCACCTCCAACACTGGGGACCAAATTTCAACACGAGGTTTGGAGGGACAAATATCCAAACCATAGCAGGGTATCATAGGCATACTCACCTATGTGCCTCTTTTGCAGATTAAAATAGTTGCCTGGCTAAAAGAATGCCTTTGCTTCCAAGGTGGGCTACACAGAGCAACTGGGCTCTATCGCTGGGGTAATTTTAGAGTTGTATTCCTTTAGAGATAATGGAGAGATTGTCCTCTGGTTGGAGACCAGATTCAGAGTCTGAAAACAAAGTTTAATGATAAACAAGAAACGTCTGTAAGCACCTAGTGCAGATGTGTAGCGGATGAAGGGCACTCTGGGGACTCCAACAAGTTCTAAAACACTTAAATTGTAAAGGACCCATTCCATGTACTCGCTTGTAAATTTTAAGTTCTCCTCCAGGTGGTTTAAGGCTGATGTTGAGATTAAATCTATCATTCAAGATTTTTTAAATTAAAACATAAGACACTTAGAATGAAAATACATGTATGAAATAGACCAATATTTAAATTCATTAGCAATGGCTAGTTATTGTGCTCTGAAAACTTATTTTGTATGAGAATAGGAAGTTGAAAATAATTGCTTTTAGGTAAAGCAGAATAGAAATAACATTTGGTGCCTTTCATTTCTCTCAGCAAAGGGTACTATCTGAGCCCTCTTGCCAAAACGAGCAGTCATGCCCATGAAACAAGTGTGTCAGAGGATTCAAGTTTATTACTGGGCAATCAAGTACACCTGCAAGCCCATTAACTATCACTGCTATTACTTGGTGCCCTGCGGGCTCCACGTGAGGAGAAAGCTTGTTACGATTATGAGAACACTCAGGGATTATGGGAACTCCAAAGGTTTATGAAAAACACGCAGGGATTATGGGAACACTGAGGGATTATGTGAACTCTAAGGGGTTATGAAAACACTCAGGGATTATGGGAACACTGAGGGATTATGGGAACACTGAGGGATTATGGGAACTCTAAGGAGTTATGAAAACACTCAGGGATTATGGGAACACAGAGATGATGGGAACACTAAGCGATTATGAAAACACTCAAGGATTATGGGAACACTGAGGGATTATGGGAACTCTAAGGAGTTATGGGCACACTGAGGGATTATGGGAACACTGAGAGATTATGGGAACTCTAAGGTAGTTCTCAAAGACCATGACCAAGGCTGGCTTTTAGAGGCCTCTTTAAACCCCACATGTCTGGGGGCTCTAAGATGATGCTTCAGGGAACAGCCACTTTTGCTGACCTCATGTGGTATTTATGTCCCATGGAGCATGTGGTCCCAGGCACACGCTTCAGAGGCAGACCCACTGGGATTGGAGTACTGGCAAGTTGCTTAAACCCTCTCTGTCTGAGCTATCTCAGCTGTAAAATGGAGATAATAAGCACTGCTAGTTTATAGGCTTGTTATAAGGATTAAATTAATTAACGTAGATCAGTGGTTCTCAAAGTGTCATCCCTGAGTCAGCAACACCAGCATGACCTGGGAACTGGTTAAAAAGGCAAATCCTCAGGCCCTGCCCTGGACCTGCTGAATCGGAATCTCTGGGACTGGGCCGAGGCAGCCTGTGTTGTAATCAGCCCTCCAGGTGACTTTGATGCAGCCACACTTTGGGACACTGATGCAAATGAAGCGCTGGCTCGACATGTGCTATGCGCTCAGCTCTTCATGGAGGGGCAACATCTGTCATCCGTCTTGACAGTGTTTATCACGTTTGTTATTATTAAATAGGATTCTCTGTGTTATTATTGCGGTTATGATGTGTATTATCACACAGCAGCAACCTGGGCTGCCCTGAGTGAGGCATGAAGTGGGATTCAGCTCCTGTGTTCACCTGCTCCTGGTGGATTTGGCAGAGCAGCTGCTCACCACAGATTGCCTTCGGACACGACCTGAGGCGTGTGCATCTCCCAGCTGCAAAGTTAACATAGTTTTATGTCACCACTTGTACACACTGCTTTCTGAGTAAAGACAAAAATGCACTTTCCTGTTAATTTATCTGAATGCAGGCATCTCACCCCTTTTCTCTTGGTCTTCCCCTGTCCCTTCCCCACTTTAGGAAGATTTTATGGATATGACATCTGTAAAGTCCTCATTTCCAAAGCAAGCAAGACTTTTGCACAAGACATTCTCCTTGTACCCCCAAACAGACAGCCATAGAAGGGGGCTGGCAGGTGGTCTGTCCTCAGCTGCAGGTGGGACGTCAGATTCATTAGCTCCCAGTGTCTCCACCTGCTCCTTCCATTAATCTATACACTAAAGAAAAGCAGCTTTCATTCTGTCTTCTTTAAAAAAATTTTTGTGGAAGTGCCTCTTTCCTCTCCCCTCCGGTCATCCCTTCCTCACAGAGTCCCTGGAAAGGCCCTTGAAGCTGGCTGGGTGTCCCAGCAGAGGAGAGGCGCTAGGGTGGGCCCTCTGCAAAGTCCACGTCCCATGCTGCCTGGAATGAGCCTGCCCATCACCGACGCTGGAGCAGAACAGATAACAAGCAGCAACATCACAGGCAGGGGAAACGAGGTTTTGCTGAGAAGTTTGTTTATGTGCTTTCATTCTTGCATGACATTCTGTTTATTAAAGATTTCCAAAGCACGATGTATGAAACCAGCAAGAGAAGCCGCTGTCCTGCTTGGCTACCTTCTCCCAGGGGAGCACCCTTTAGGGCAGAAGTGGCAGCTGTGCAGCTTCAATGTAGAGTCCTCCTGTACCTGTGGCCCACCCACACCTGAGGCCCACCTGCATCCATAGTCCACCTGCACCCATAGTCTCCCCACACCTGAGTCCCACCTGCACCCATAGTCCACCCATACCTGAGGCCCACCTGCATCCATAGTCCACCTGCACCCATAGTCCACCTGCACCCATAGTCTCCCCACACCTGAGGCCCACCTGCACCCATAGTCCACCCACACCTGAGGCCCGCCTGCACCCATAGTCCTCCTGCACCCATAGTCCACCTGCACCCATAGTCTCCCCACACCTGAGGCCCACCTGCACCCATAGTCCACCTGCACCCATAGTCTCCCCACACCTGAGGCCCACCTGCACCCATAGTCCACCTGCACCCATAGTCTCCCCACACCTGACGTCCACCTGCACCCATAGTCCACCCACACCTGAGGCCCACCTGCATCCATAGTCCACCTGCACCCATAGTCCACCTGCACCCGTAGTCTCCCCACACCTGAGGCCCACCTGCATCCATAGTCCACCTGCACCCGTAATCTCCCCACACCTGAGGTCCACCTGCACCCATAGTCTACCTACACCTGAGGTCCACCTGCACCCATAGTCTACCCATACCTGGGTCCACTTGCCTCATGGGCTGCCTGGTCTTCCCGGAACTCTAGGTGTGCAGATGTGCAGATCCAGGCAGAGGAAGTGAGGGCTACCCATGCTTCCTAGAAACTGATTTAATTGTCAGTAAATTTCATCTCCACTAAATGCCTACACAGTTTCTCAACCTGAAGCTACAGGCTATAAATAAAAGTATGTTTTTTTGGCCTGGCACAGTGGCTCACACCTGTAATCCCAGCACTTTGGGAGTCCAAGGTGGGCAGATCACAAGGTCAGGAGTTCGAGACCAGCCTGGCCAATATGGTGAAACCCCATCTTTATTAAAAACAGAAAAAAATTAGCTGAGTGTGGTGGTGCACGCCTGTAATCCCGTCTACTCAGGAGGCTGAGGCAGGAGAATTGCTTGAACCTGGGAGGCAGAGGTTGCAGTGAGCCGAGATTGCACCAGCACTCCAGCCTGGGCAGCAGAGCGAGACTCCATCTCAAAATATATATATATTTTAAATATACATATTTAAATATATATACATATATATTTTGTATATATGTATATATATGCATATATATGTATACATATATGTATATGTACATATAATGTACATATAAATTTTGCTTTTGTTATAAGTAGAAATAACAGGAAACAATTATAAAGATTTAAGCCCAGCTACTTTCTATCCTTGAGACTGTTGAAAGCATCAGTGGGCCCCAGGCAGGGCAGAGTTCCCAGGACACCTAAAATGGGCTGGGGGCGGGAGAAAGTTTGAGAAGGCCACTCCTCCCTTCTGTCTGCATTGCAGAGGCACGCGTTGGTGTATCTGGGGGTATTGTTCTCTTTGGAGTACGAGCTCCTCTTCTGGTGCCTCTAACTAATAATGTTCCTGGTGGCCAGGCCTTCAGAGGGAGGAAAGGCTATGTCCCTGGGGAGAAAAGCAGAGGCCTTCACAATGATGGTTCAAATGGAGATTGTAAGAATCAGACAAAAGTGTTCATATGAAAACACTTCTGTGGGAAATATGCAGTATTTTCATATTGATAAGCAAACGGCAACTAAGAGAGCTCTGGTGGTTGTTTTTATAGAGTCATACTGCAGGGAGGACCCGGCCTGAGTACCTTTGCTGACCGCCTTCCACTTAACAGCCGTCGTTGCTGGCGTTAGTAAAGAACCGACTGAGTGGAAGCGAAAAGTGCTGGGCTAGGCACCAACTAAGCCCAGTTCCTTTGACTGAGTCCTGAACTTAAGATGGTGGGATTTACCCACTTTTCTTCAATCGGGTATACTTTCTAAAAAAAGTTGCAGCGCCGGTCGGGTACGGTGGCTCAGCCTGTAATCCCAGCACTTTGGGAGTCCGAGGCGGGTGGATCACGAGGTCAGGAGATCAAGACCATCCTGGCTAACACTGTGAAACCTCATCTCTACTAAAAATACAAAAAAAAAAAATTAGCCAGGCGTGGTGGCGGGCGCCTGTAGTCCCAGCTACTCGGGAGACTGAGGCAGGAGAATAACGTGAACCCGGGAGGCGGAGCTTGCAGTGAGCCAAGATCACGCCATTGTACTCCAGCCTGGGTGACAGAGCAAGACTCTGTCTCAAAAAAAAAAAAAAAAAAAAAAAAGTTGCAGCCCACACACTGTATGAATGATCAAGAGATCACTAAAGGGACTTACCTAATGTTAATATCAAGTGGGAAAAATACATATCTCCATCCTGCCTTACTCTGGAGGCGTTTATATGAGTAACGAAATATGAAAGGGAAAGAAGATGGAATCAGAGAGAAATAAAGATAATTAAGCTTGTTAAAATAAGAGCCTTTGAAGAAATAAATAGTGCTAGCACTAGGTGTAAATTGACATCTTTCTCAGATTCAGATATTCGCTAGAATGGTAATTCCACTATTGATCATATTTAATTATTAAAATCTTTTTCCCAAATGAAATGCAAACTAGTTTTCTAGATGACAGACTGTTATTAACTAATGCTGCTAAATAATTTTAGTGACTATCATGCATGAAAATGGAAAAACTATTTGGCTTTTTATGTTAAAACAAGTGAGACAAAAATGCTGACAAAAGCTGATTGAAATCAACATGTTAAAATATAAGATGTAGTTTCATAGTGATGTTATCCTGTGACTGAAGCTTCAAAGGGGAAAGTTCTGGATGGGAACAAGCAAACTAACGCAGGTGAAAGGCAGCGAGCATGGCTGGAGGCCGGGCTTCCTTAGAGATGGTCGGCTGAGCAGGCTTGGTCCCCAGCCTCCCCTTCCTGAAATAGCTCCCTGTCCTCAGCCTCCACTTGAAGAATGTCATGAGCAATAAGGATGAAAATGTGTCCTCTCCCGGAGAATGTGCCTTTTAATGAAAGACAGAACTTGACTCCACAGGAAGGGATCATAGAACAAAAACCTTTCAGAAACCAGAAAACCAAGGTGCTGAAGTGGAAGTGGGGGTTGAGGTGCCGGAGCCAGAGAAGCCTTCGGGTGAACTATCCAGAATGTCTTCTTCCCTGAGGCTCACCTCGCAATCCTGCTGCCTTCTCTAAATTGGAGAAGGGGAAATGTCGTTCTCATCTACAGGGCCAACTCGCGCACACGCACAAAAATGTGCCTGTGCAGACACTGATGCAATTTAACAGTAAAATGACTATGACATCAACCAACAGGAGGCCTGAGACCTGGATTTAAAAAGAAAACAAAGTGTGCTTTTATCATTCTGTGATATACCCCCCAAAATGCATTTTGTAGCTTAACAGGATATACTTTGGTCTGGGACAGTCCCAGAGCCACCATAGTGGCTATCTAAAACTTTAATGTATGACCTTAAATATTCAAGGAAATCCCTACAAATCATTTTCATCAAATCTGTACATGAATGATTCCCACCAGACCCACTAGTCACGCGACCTTGCACTAAGAGGCCTGTTTCTCAGTATTTTACTCAATTAACTTCCTAAGCTGAAATTCGGCTTCACAGCAACAGCATTAATGAAATGAGAGCTCGTGCCCTGGTTCAATTGGCCACTTCCTGCCTAGACGTCGTGGTTTTGCGTCAACACTTTTCAGAAGCGGATGACTCTTCAAATACTAACGCGAGACCCCCATTAATGTTATTGCTTGGAGTAATGCTGCAGGGACTGCCGGGGCCCAGGTCACTCTCTCAGCAGAACAAGTCCCTGCAAAAGAAAATGAGCGAGGCCAGCACACGGGGAAATGAGCGAGGAGTGGTATGCTGGCTCCTGCTGAAAAGGGATACGAAGCTACAAAGCTGTAATTCTCAGAGTGACGCAGAGGCTGGGGTGTCGAAGCTCACTAGAGGTCACGCCTGTGTGCTCACCCGCCCAGCCCTCTCCCAGTCTATTGCATAAAATCAGTAGCACCCCTTCGACATCACACAGCTCCACCGAAACATAGCTCCTGCATGAGGTGCCACACCAGGATGATGTCCACAGGGACAGAGATGTAGCCACACTCGGGGGTCCCGGGTGGCTAGCAGCACCTCCAGGTGAACACCTCACTCCCGTGTGCTGAGTGCATTTTCCCGGCTGCTGCTCTCTCTACCGGCAGCAGTACAGGCCGCCCGCCCATCCCTGAACCAGTGGATGGGACAATGCACTGACATTTGTAAGTAGCCTCTGCTCCACCCTTGATTAGAAACTATCTTTAATTAAAACACCACATCAGAATTCTGAGCCAATTTCATCCCGGCTCTCCTAAGTGCTTTGTACAAAACATTAACTCTGGAATCTCATTATACATTTGCAACCCCTGTGACAAACATAAATGATGATTTAGCTCTAATGCCTTCTTGAGCAAGCCATTTTTTTTTTTTTTTTTTTTGAGACAGAGTCTTGCTCTGTCTCCCAGACTGGAGTGCAGTGGCATAATCTTGGCTCGCTGCAACCTTTGCCGCCAGGGTTCAAGCGATTCTCCTGCCTCAGCCTCCCGAATTGCTGGGATTACAGGAACCTGCCACCGTGCCTGGCTAATTTTTTTGTAGTTTTTAGTAGAGACGGGGTTTTATCATCTTGGCCAGGCTGGTCTTGAACTCCTGACCTCATGATCCACCTGCCTCAGCCTCCCAAAGTGCTGGGATTACAGGCTTGAGCCACTGTGCCCTGCCAAGCAAGCCATATTTTTAAAGGCTTGTGGATAATAGTAACTTACTGAGGAAAATGTATAAGTGCTGGATTTAGCATCTCTTTACCTTTTACACCAAGAGTTGGAGCTAGTGTTGCAATGGGCTGAACAGATCGTCACAGAGCACCCATCTGACAGCTCTCGGAAGATGCTCACCTGGAAGCTAGCAACTCGCATTCAGTGCGGTTCCCTGCAAGTCAAAGACCTTGGGTACCAACAAGAGTGGGCTGGGCCATTCTCACTCTGGTAAGCTGAAGGAGGCTAAGAGATCCTGAACTTCGTAGCTCAGTTGCTCACAGGCGAACCTCAAGTGATTTGCATTACGATGTTAGGGAACATCCCTACTGGAGAGGAAATACAGATTTCTTGGGACTGCAGATGAACAAATACTCGAGGGCTCGTGGCCACAAGGTCCAAATCTTCTGCATGGTTTCTGAGCGGGATCCATCGTGGTGCTGGTTGTGCCCATGGCCCTTCTCAATGGGACAGCCTTGTTTTGCACCCTGCGGTGCAATTCTCTCTGACATTCGATGACTGGACCAAGGATGGGCCCTTGACTTGAGCCAAGAAAGTGCAAGTCAGGGGACACAGAGAGGGGAGCAACAGAGGCTGACCTGCTGTGTGGAGGCCAGGAAGGGGAGAATGAGCTATGGGAGGCATGAGGCAGTTGAGGCCAAGAGAAAACCTAACTCAGCTTGTGACAAGCCACAAGGAGCAAAAGGATGAAGAGAGAGTGGTGGAACAGGCCCCCAAGAGAAATGGATGCCATGAGAACCTGCGCCATGTTCCTAGGGAAACCCGGAGATACAATACACAAGCTCCTTAGATCCTGCAACCACCCCAGACCTGGTCCCAGGAGACGTGGTACAAATGGTTCCTGTTTGGGGATCTCATGAGATGTCAGTACCCTTGTTCCAAGTCTAACCTCATAATTTATCACCCCACCTGGAGCAGGCCCTAGTGCCATCCTAAGCCTTGCCAGGAAAGACAAACAGAGTATTCCAGAAACACTGGGTGTCAACGAGGATGTCTTTGATCCTTCTCCATATGGTGCTGGGGCCAGGCATGGTGGCTCATGCCTGTAATCTCAGCCCTTTGGGAGGCCATGGCAGGCAGATTGCTTGAGCTCAGGAGTTCGACACCAGCCTGGGCAACATAGCAAAACCCTATCTCTACAAAAAAGTTAAAAAGTTAGCCAGGCATGGTGGCATGTGCCTGTAGTCCCAGCTACGCAGGGGGCTGAGGCAAGAGGATCACTTGACCCTGGAAGGTCAAGGCTAGAGTGAGTTGCAGTCACACCACTGTACTTCAGCCTGGGCAACAGAGCCAGGTCCTGTCTCAAAAAATAAATAAATAAATAAATAAATATGCCTAAATAAATAAATGAGGTGCTAATGAAGAACAAAGACCCATTTGCAATCATAAAGCCATTTCCCCTACTGTCTTTCCCACTCATCTAGATATCTATGCTCTGTGTGTGGTTGCAGCAGTTTCAGGAAACACTTCTTCAGAGTTGTGGCTCCACTCACCTCTGCCCAGCCTGTGCTCTGAGCCCGGGACCTTGATGATGCCAACTAGCATCATGATTTCAGGCAACTGACCTCTGAGCCTCCCTCTTCCCCATATGAAAATGAGGAAAGTGCTTTCTCCTATTCTGCATTATTTAGAAGGTCAAGTGAGAATAACAATAGAAAGAGGTATTAGTCTTTCTCACATTCCTATAAAAGACCACCTGAGACTGGGTAATTTATAAAGGAAAGAGGTTTAATTGACTCACAGTTCTGCGTGGGTGGGAAGGCCTCAGGAAACTTACAATCATGGCAGAAGGGGAAGCAAACATAACCTTCTTCACATAACGGCAGAAAGGAGAAGTGCTGAGCAAAAGGGAGAAAGCCTCACTCACTATCACAAGAACAGCAGCATGGGGGTAACTTCCCCCAAGATTCAATTACCTCCCACGGGGTCCCTCCCACCAAGTCCCTCCCATGACATGTGGGGATTATGGAAAATACAATTCAAGATGAGATTTGGGTGGGGACACAGCCAAATCATATCATTCTGCCCCGGCCCCTCCCAAATCTCATGCCCTCACATTTCAAAACACAATCATCACCCTTCCAACAGTCCCCTAAAGTCTTAACTCATTACAGCATTAACTCAAAAGTCCAAGTCCAAAGTCTCATCTGAGACAAGGCAACTCCCTTCTGCCTATGAGCCTGTAAAATCAAAAGCAAGTTAGTTACTTCCTAGATACAATGGGGGTACAGGCATTGGGTAAATACACCCATTCCAAATGGGAGAAATTGGCCAAAACAAAGGGGCTACAGGCTCCATCTAAGTCCAAAATCCAATAGGGCAACTATTAAATCTTAAAGTTACAAAATGATCTCCTTTGACTCCATGTCTCACATTTAGGTCACGCTGAGGCAAGAGGTGGGCTCCCATGGCCTTGGGCAGCTCTGCCTCTGTGGCTTTGCAGGGTACAGCCCCACTCCTGGCTGCTTTCACAGGCTGGCGTTGAACGTCTGAGGCTTTTCCAGGAATACAGTGCAAGCTGTCGGTGGATCTACCATTCTGGGGTCTGGAGGACTGTGGCCCTCTTCTCACAACTCCAGTAGGCAGTGACCCAGTAATTCTCATATGCTTTCTTTATCATAAATAGAAAAGAAAAAAAGGACATTTATGGACATATATTCTGCGTGCTGTTAAAGTCAGTATTAGTATTAAATACATGTGAGATAGGCTTATAATTAAATAGTCTATTTTCTATAATGCAAAACTTTTATTTCCATTTTCATAGTATTGCTTCCTTTTCTGGTGACCATTGATTGTACATAGCCCCATTGGTTACTTTGATTTGACATCTTTCAGAACCTAGCAAATTTATATTCCTAAAAACATTCCTTGATTTTTACCTATCCAATTTGTACTTCTTAGTTTCCAGAAATAGAACAACCTGGTAGTCAAAAGTCTTGCAAGTCAAATCATTGAAGTGGTTATCTTGGTGCTCATGTCGTGCTGTGATGTTCATGTACCACATATTCCTTGGAATAAACCATTACTGATTGAAACTCGGGAATGTTTTCATCCATTAAAGATATGACTATGATAATATTTGCCATACCAAAAAAACAGGTCAAAAAAACAAAAAACAAATCAGGGATGTTTAGCTCTTTGAAGGACTTAACAGGCTAGAGAGAGACTTAGTGGCTCTAGCTCCAAAAAACAGATCCTGGGCCAATGGGAAGAAGACCCAGAGAGACAGTTTTCAATCAATGTAAAGAAAGTTCAAGGTTGGGTGCAGTGGCTCACGCCTGTAATCCCAGCACTTTGGAAGGCTGAGATGGGTGGATCACCTGAGGTCAGGAGTTCAAGATCAGCCTGGCCAATGTGTTGAAGCCCCATTCTCTACTAAAAATACAAAAATTAGCCGAGCATGGTGGCAGGCACCTGCAGTCCCAGCTACTTGGGAGGTTGAGGCAGGAGAATTGCTTTAACCCAGGAGGCAGAGCTTGTAGTAAGCCAAGATCGTGCCACTGCTCTCCAGCGTGGGTGACAAGAGCAAAACTCTGTCTCAAGAAAGAAAGAAAGAGAAAGAAAGAAAGAAGAGAAAGAAAGAGAAAGAAAAAGAAAGAAAGAAAGGAAGGAAGGAAGGAAGGAAGGAAGGAAGGAAGGAAGGAAGGAAGGAAGGAAGGAAGAAAGAAAAAGAGAAAGAAAGAAAGATCAATTTATAATTGGGGTTGAAAATGTATTGCTTGACGAAGTCTGCTCTGTGTCACTACAAAGGTTTAAGAACAAAGGGAGTGGGTGGGGCTTATGTTCTGTCTAAAGGCTTCTACAATCCCCTACTGGATGAGAGGTTAGGCCAGAGGAGACCCCTACATCCCTTCCAACTAGAGAACTTTCCCCATAATGCCATCACTCGGTACACAGCCAGTGGCCACAGGCTGCCCCTATGTGTAGCTCAGGAATTCCTGCCACAAATCTTCACTGAATCCCACAGAATTGACTGAATAGATTAGATCAAGAAAAGCTGGAGAGAAACGGTGGCTGCTGTCAATTCCACCAGGATAATAAGAGCTTAGCAACAATAATTACCTCTTTGTATTCCCACTGGGCTGGACATTTATAGCAACACACACACACACACAATTCCACCAGTTCCGTTTAGGACTCCAAATAAAATCTGAAAACAAGGAATAAAATTAGACCTCCGATCAACACCTGGAGATTTAGCCTAAAAAAGCACCAAATCACCCTCACACCAGAGTTCTGCTCTGAGCCTTCACCCCGGTTGACTCCCCACAACCCCGTCATCTGCGCTGGGAGCTCTGCCCAAGCTCGGGCCTGGCTCTGGCGTCCCCCGCCATTACCCACCTGCACGGTTCCATGCCTGCCTCCCCGGCTCACATGCTTACTGCGGTCCTCCCGTTTCCTTCCACTGGGTCATTGGATCCCCATTCCATGGCAAGCCCACTTTCTACATTAGGGACAACAAACAGATTTCCAAGCAGAGGGTCACCTAAAGTGAGGCCCGGGCGCTGCAGGGAGGAGGATTCTGGCAGCAAGCTGGGATTCCGGGGGAAGGTGCCCTTGCAACACCATGCACATCCTTGTCCCGGGATGCTCCTGAACTAGAGTTACTTCATTGGTGGCCTCCACGAGAGTACTCTCCGTCTCAAGCGTGAGAAAACGGTACCAGAAGGAAAGGAAATTTTTATTCTTAAAATTTTGTATGAATTAAAGAAAGGAAAAAGCTAACACAGTCATCTTGCTCTTGGTTCCAGAAAATTTGAATTGAAAAAGAGGATAAAAATAGGTATCTAATTTCTCTCCTAGGGATGCTCTAAGAATTTTATTTTAGGTGCTACTTTTTCTCAATATCATCTTTAAAAGATACTCAGCTTTCGAAGGATCTTCCTAGCACCTGTCCATAGGCACACATCAGATAAAGCTGAGCTTGGCGGTTAGGCGGAGGCTGTTCAATGAACGCTAGATAGAACGACAACAACAAAAAAGAATTTCTGAGCCCATAATGAAGACAGAGTAGCAGGTTTCTGTTCTAGAAAGGCAGCACCTTGGGAACTTTTTAAAAATAAAATTCCCATCCGTGCCTTTACTTGCTTTTCTGTTCTCAACAAGGGAACCGGAACTCAAACTATAAAAAAGGAAATCTAATTTTGAAATGCTTTCTCGTGAAATACCTTTTCCTGCCCAGAGGCATGAATGGATATACTAGGTTACATTTTTCCTCAAAAGTATCTAATCCTTTCCGCCTCTCCCTCTTCCTCCTCTTTGTCCTCCTCCTCATCCTCTTTCTTCTCTTTCTCTGCTTCCTCCTCCTCTTCTTTTTCATTTATTCAAATATTTTTCCCTTTAAAAATTACTTTTTTACATACGCATACAATTTTTCTTAATAGACAAATGCTGGGACTTTTTTGTTTTTATGGGTTTTTTGGTTTAATTTCTCCTCCCTCCTCCTTCCCCTCTTTCCCCTCTCTGTGGAGATGGAATAATGGCTTCCCCCAGAGAGGTCCACATCCTCACCCCTGGAATTTGTGAATGTCACCTTACAAGACAAAAGACTTTGTAGATGGGATTAAATTAAGGGTCTGGGTGGGGAGATGATCCTGCATTATTCCAGGGGGGCTCCATGTCGTCAGCAGGGTCTTGATGGGCGCAGGATGGTCAGAGTCAGAGGGAAGTGTGATGGTGGGAGCAGAGGACAGGGAGGAGGGGAGAGGCCACATACTGGCTTTGAACATGGAGGAAGAGGCCATGAACCAAGGAGTGTGGCAGCCTCGAAATCCTGGAGAAAGCGAGGAGACAGATTCTCCCCCAGAGCCTCTGGAAGGAACTCAGTCCTGTGAAATCATTGTAGATTTCTGACCTCCAGAACTAAAAGCAGATTTGTGTCACTTTAAGCCACTGAATGCGTCGTACTTTGGTACAGCAACCATAAGAAACAAACACACCGTCTCATAAGTCACACTATCCCTCCCCCAGTAAACTACGTGTATTGTCAGGGTTATACCAGCTGTCATATCTAAAAAAAATTATGATGGCTCAAACTAGATGGAGGTGTGCGCCTTGTGCAACTAACTCAGTGCAGGTGTCTCAATGGGCAGATGGCTCTCCTCAGCACAGTTATTTGGGGACCCAGTGATGGAGGCTCTGCTGTCTTCTATGCGTGTTCTCTAAGGCCATGCTCATCATCACCATTTCAGCCTGGAGAGGGGATGAGCAGAAGCCCATGAACATGAGGCGGGGATTGTGCATCACCCTTTCCCTCACATCGCACTGGAGGGAGCTGAGTCGAGGAAACACACTTAGCTGTTGATGGGGGTGGGGGATGGGGAGGCTATAGAACGCTGTTCCCACCTGGACTTCCACATCCCAGCCATCAGTTCGTTGTGTGCACTCCCTTCGTCCACATGTAGATGGCCCTGACTGCCCTTCCCAAAGCAGACAGCCCTATGTCTAGGTCACATTCAGGAACTAGGTCGAGCTCAGCGCAGAGGACACCCGGTGACTTCATCCTCCTCCTCAGGCATGGACATCATTCATTGTCTGGTGATCCAGAAACTAAAAGGCAATACTTAGGCCTCCCACACATACACCTAACATGTGCTGGAGCAGACACAGGTAACTGCAGTAGAAATTCTCATGCGGAAAGGGAGGAAAGAGGAACCAATGGCTGTCACTGGTCCATAGCAACAAGGGGTCCAGCTGGGAAGGAACCGTGATAACAACTGTCCTGGCTGAGGGAATGTGCCTTGATTTGACCTCAGTTTTTCCCTCTGGGAGGAAATTCCTGGTCCACTTTCTCCTATGGGAAGCCTTGTCCTCAGGAGTGTGTCCTCCCTGGGGCACGGCGCTCACACAGTCCACGTGGTGTTGGGACAAGCTTGGAATGCCATGCATCCTCCTGAGGCTCAGATTGGCACAGATCCCTGCACACCCACTCAGCACAGGCCAGGCTTGAGGTTCCTTTGACAATGTAATTCTCCCAGACTCTTCGGAGGCTTCTAGTGCATTTGCTTTTAGACCACTCCATGTGCTGAGAACTACACCCAAAGCTTCACCTATTTGTAGTTCTTAAGTAAGCTTTGATCCTGTACTTTTTCCTTCCTTGTGCACCTGCCCTTCTCTCAGTGTAATAACAGCTAAACTGAGGCCAACTGAAATAATGGGCGACACCCTTCGCAGACAGGACAGGTGAGCCTCACAACCGGGGTTTAGCCTGGGAGGGCTCTTGGCTGTACCCAGGGAAGAAGGAGATCTTTGATTGAACTGCACTGCTGCTTTGAGAGCTGGCTAACTCATATGCAGCGCCCCCAGAGTCAGCAGCATATGGGCTATAGGCAGCTGTACTTATACCCATGTAAACCCACTTTAATTACATGCAAATTAAGGAGCGGGTCAATGTAAAGTGAGGGGCAGGTTATGTAGAACTTTCTAGGAAAGGGGCAGTGACTTCCAGGTCATTGCCTTGGAAATGTTCAGAAACTTTTGGATAGCTGCCATGGAAAGGGGCATGACTTCTGGGTCACTGCCATGGCATTTGTAAACTGTCATGGTGCTGGTGGTGGTATCTTATGCCAATGAGCAGTGAGGGCAGCTAGGGATCACCTTGTTAGCCATTTGCTGCTTCCTGTCGGTTTCTTCACTTTATCCTGTGTGGACCAGGTTCTGATTTGGTCAGCAGGGTTGTGACCAGAAAACAAATCCTGCTGGTCTCCTGCCTCATTTCCATCTTTACAACAAGCTTTTCTACAAGGATGGATTCCCCTCCTTTTTTTTCTTAGCAAGACGTCATTTGGAAAGGTTTTGAGCAATGGGCATCGTCTTATCACCTGCTGTTTGGGGTACAGAAGCAGTGGCCGTTCCATCTGGTCTGGCCCCCAAATCTCTATACTCCCTTTGCTCCACTCCACCTCTTCCTACTCACCAGGCCATTCTTTTCTGAGCTCCCTCTTTCTTTTAATATCTTGCTAAAAGCAGCCAAGAGTAGACCACACACACCCAAATTCTGGTATTTGCCAGTTGCTTTTCCTGGAGCTCCAGGCTGGGTAGGCCTGTGGTCCACCTTCCAAGTTCCTGCAAGAATAGTTTACAAATGTTTCACCACAGCATACAGGTCACCAGGTCTCTCATGATCTATTTCCCAGAATTAGTGAACCTTGAACATGTGCCTTTGACAGTTATGTCAGCAAGAAATAAACTCCTACCTAATTGGAGCCATTAGATCTCTTGGTCAATTTTATAGCAGTTTGTGTTACCCAACCAATACAGAAATTGTTATCTGGAAGTGGATACACAAAAAACTTTAAAATGTGGCATGGGTTTGATGTTCAGGTTCAGATGGCAAGGAAACCAGTGTGGCAAGTGGAGTTCTGGGGACCAGTAGACATGGCCATCTCCACCATATGATGCCAACAATCTATTATACATTTTTAAATATTTTTCTCCATGTTCATATGTAAACATATTTATGATGTGCATATACTTATACATATATAATGAAGGTTTGGTTATTTTTTTAATCAAAGCGAGATCACATTATAGAGAGTTTTCTGAATCTTGGTTTTCCACACTCAACAAATCTGATAAAAATCCCTTTAACTCACCTGTTATAATTCCAATTCATTCTTTTTGTAACTGCTGCCTAAATTTCCAAGTGGTTGTACCATAAATTATTCAATGATTTTCTTATTCTGAACATTCATTAGACTTTGCCACTATGAAAAATGTTGTGATAAATATCCTTGTACAAATATGCTTACGAATTGATGCTCTAGTTTCCATGGGCCCAATTCTCAAGAGTGGGACTCTTCCAGTAAATAATCCATATCCATACAGCCTCACAGCAGCAGCCTCTCTCTCATGTGCTCTCTCTCTCTCTCTCTTTCTGTTTCTCTCTTTTGCCAACTCTTTGATGGTTGAGAAAAAAATATCATGGGACCAGACTGTCACTGTGCTTTTGTTTTGTTTTGCATTTTCATACTTTTGACTTGGCCTTTTGAATTCAATCCTTTGCCAATTGCCTCTGCAAATCTCTTACCCACTTTTTTATTGAGGGTTTATGCCCTTCTTGCCAATTATTCAGACTCTTCTGTTTATTATAGAGCTCAAACCCCTTTCTCCATAATGCTTATATTTTTCTGTGTTTCTGTTCATTTTTATGTTATTTTCCCATATAAATGTTTCTAATTTCTATGTATTCACATAAGTCTATTATTGTTTCAAGGTTGCCAGATAGGAATATCTCTCACCCCTAGACTGTAAATGTAGTACCTAGTTTTTCTTGAGAGATTTGATTGTTCTTTTTACTTTTATAATTTAATTTCTAATTCACCCAGAATTTTTGGTGTGTGTGATATCAGGTCTTATATATTTTATTTACTTCTACTTTCTTACAAACAGATGGCTGGCAATGCCAGAATTTGTATTAAATAATATCCTCTTTGCCCACTGAATTAAAACAGTACTTTGTCACGTATTAAATTCTTATATAATTGAGATCTATTTCTGGACCCTCTAGCTGTTTCACTGATAAAGTGTCTCTTCTTATGCAGTTCCCACTCTGATTTGAATACAGTGGCTTGCTAATTTCACTAGTTGTTAGGTCAAGCCCTCTCTTACTATTCTTTTTCTTAAACATTCTCAAGCGTGTATCTCTTCCATATGAATGTTAAGTTCACTCTCCTCAATTAAAAAATCTTTAGGGAAGTGTTCCTGAATTATAGTTTTAAACATCTGTTCTATTTCATTGTTTTATATCTTTGGGCATGTCAATTATACAAATGTTAGATCTCTCTTGCTTATATTTAGTCTATCATTTTTTTCCTCGAATTCCTTTAATCTATTCTTCCCCATTTTTTAGACTTTTCTCATTTCTATCTGTTCTGTCCCTTACTCTTGTTTCCGTGATATCTAGTCTCCCTTGTGCACTTTGCAATATGAAATGATTTTGAATTTTTCTTCAGATTTTTTCCAGAGTTCCAATCATCTCTTCTCTGAATTTTTTCAGTGCTATTTCTCATGATGTTCTTCCAGAGGTGCAGTTGCTTCACACGATGTTTTTTCTTTAAAAATTCGTTTTGGAATATTATATGTCAATCATCCTCTTTTTGTGAATTTGTTGCTTTTTTGGTGTTGATTTTCTTCCAGTCTGCCAAGAAGCTTTAATTTTCTTTTTCTTATAGTATCTACAGATGCAGAATTTTTACTTGTAAAATTCATATTTTTGTGAGTTGGATTTCACTGGGCTGGCTCTTAATAGGAGAATGTAAATTCACTACAGGGCTACTTTTCTTGGTCTCTCAGTTAAAGAGTTACTTCATTTGTTGCTAGAATGACAATTTCGTTAGTCTAAGGACCCTTGATTCCATGCAGTTTCCATACTTTTTTCTTCCCTCTCTCCTAGTACTCATCTGTTGTCCTATTCATTCTCAGACCTGCCAGCAGAATTTCCATTCAAGTTGGTGTCTTCTTCTGGGATAAATATTTGCTGATGTTTTCTGGGTTGTGTCTCCATTAAGCCTCTGGGAATACCCACTTATTTTCTGCCCCCACCATAATGGCTATCTGTATTGATTATTTCTGGCGGTGGTGGGATTTTTTTTACCCAAAATTTACTGATGCTATGAAGTTTGCAGGTTTCCTCTATCTTCTAGTCTTTCAGAAAGGTGTATATTATTAGTGTTTTCATACATTTTCCTTGTTTCTCTGTATGGTTTTAGGAGGAGAAACATGAAGATGTGGCTGCCACCACATTCCCACCAGAACCTAGCTCTGTCATTTGGCCTCTCTTGTTTTGTAACATAAATATCCAAAGTTATAACTTACACTCTATTTACAGCTTTCATTATTTCATACACATTTTAATATACAGTACTTCTACTACCGATCAGTTCAAAATAGGTTTAATTTTCATTATGATTCCTTATTTGACCCATGACCTCAGTAGTGTGTTTGTTTTTTAGTTTCCCAACTTATGAGGGATTTCTAGTTATACATTTGTTAGTGATTTTTAGCTTAATAGGACTGTGGACAGAGAACATAGTCTAAATTATTTCAGTCCTTTTGAAGACTTGCTCTGACACAGTGTAAAGTTAATGTGTATCTAGCAGTTGCTGAGCAGTGTTCTAAACAGGTAATACAGGTCAATAGTTTTAATCATATTGTTTAAATATTCTATCTTCTCTTTTTATCACTATTTATTTTGTGTACGTTTTATTAATTATTAGAAAATTACATTAAAATTTCTCACACTGAAAGTGGTTTGGCTTAATTCTCCTTAGAGTTCTGATAATTTTTTGTTTTATGTAACTGCCTCAAATTTTAAAGTAGTTAAATATTGACAAATTAAACTTTCTATCATTATCTCCAGTAACTTTTTGTCTTAACTCCATCTTAATTTAGAAATTCTGCTTTCTTTTGCTTATAATTTTGCTGGTAATTTTTTCCATCCTCTAACTTTAAATCTTTTTATATCTTGGTCTTTTGGATTTTTTTTTTTTTTTTTTTTTTTTTTTGAGATGGAGCCTGGCTCTGTTGCCCAGGCTGGAGTGCAGTAGTGCAATCTTGGCTCACTGCAACCTCCACCTCCCAGGTTCAAGTGATTCTCTTGCCTCAGCCTCCCGAGTAGCTGGGATTACAGGTGTGCACCACTACACCCAGCTAATTTTTGTATTTTTAGTAGAGACAGGGTTTCACCATGTTGACCAAGTTGGTCTTGAACTCCTGACCTCAAGTGATCTGCCCACTTCGGCCTCCGGAAGTGCTGGAATTACAGGCATGAGCCACCATGCCTGGCCTGGATATGTTTCTTATAAACAACATATAGTTAGATTTTTTAAAAGTCCAGTCTAAGTTTTTTGTGTTTTATCTAGAGCTTTTAGTTCACTTAAATTTGTTATAACTAATATGTTTGCATTTATATGTACTACCTTACTTTGCGCTTCTTATTTTTCCTGGCTTTTTATTTCTCTCTAATTTTTTGTCTTATTTGGATTGATGAAAATTTTTCTCATCCTATTTTTTTCTTTCCTCAAGAATGGAGGTTATACACTGTAATTATTCTAATTGTGGTTGACTTATCATGTCCTATCATGTTTACAGAAATAAACACAAATCCTCTTTGGAGAAATCCTGTTATCCTGTTCCCAAGAAACACAAGAACTTATCATTAGAGGTGTTCATAAATAGTCCAGTGCTCTTCCTTTTGGTCTCATGGCAGGATTGTCCTTCCTCACCTGGATGTCTTGAATTTAGATATGGCCATGTGACATGCTTTGGCCAATAAGAGGTGAAGGAAGTCATATGTGTTTAAGAGCCAATGAATTAATTCATCTTATTCTTTTCCCTTTGCCATGATGAGCTCAGAAAGATGTGTTGAGATGAACTGTCACCCTGGGTCGTTGGGTGTCGTTTGATTAAATGAGCACTGCACCAACCTGCATGGGCCATGCAGTACAAGGGAAAATAAAGCTTCCCTGTGTTCAGTCACTGACACTTCAAGACTGCTTGTTACTGGAGAATAAACCAGTCTAATCTGAATGATTCAATATCTTTGTTTGTTTGTTTTTGTTTTTTGAGACAGAGTCTTGCTGTTGCCCAGGCTGGAGTGCAGTGGCACGATCTTGGCTCACTGCAAGCTCTGCCTCCCGGGTTCACACCATTCTCCTGCCTCAGCCTCCCGAGTAGCTGGGACTACAGGCGCCCACCACCACACCTGGCTAATTTTTTGTATTTTTAGTAGAGACGGGGTTTCACTGTGTTAGCCAGGATGGTCTTGATCTCCTGAACTCGTGATCTGCCCGCCTCGGCCTCCCAAAGTGCTGGGATTACAGGCGTGAGCCACTGCACCCGGCCGATTCAATATCTTAATTCCATTCCCCCCTGTCTAATGTATGCACTATTATTGGGTATTTAATTTTATCTTGCTTTTGGTAAACCCCCAAATATTTTTTATACGACCAAAATATATTTACAACTGTTTGTGATCTTTACTTCTGTTTGCACATCAGATGTCTCATCAAGGATCACTTGTCTGAACAACATTATTTTCCTTCTTTTTTTTTTTTTTTTTGAGACGGAGTCTCGCTCTGTCGCCCAGGCTGGAGTGCAGTGGCGCGATCTCGGCTCACTGCAAGCTCCGCTTCCCGGGTTCACGCCATTCTCCTGCCGCAGCCTCCCGAGTAGCTGGGACTACAGGCGCCCGCCACCACTCCCGGCTAATTTTTTGTATTTTTAGTAGAGACGGGGTTTCACCGTGTTAGCCAGGATGGTCTCGATCTCCTGACCTCGTGATCCGCCCGCCTCGGCCTCCCAAAGTGCTGGGATTACAGGCGTGAGCCACCGCGCCCGGCCCCTTTTTTTTTTTTTTTTTTTGAGACGGAGTCTTGCTCAGTCGCCCAGACTGGAGTGCAGTGGCGTGACCTCGGCTCACTGCAAGCTCCGCCTCCCGGGTTCACGCCATTCTCCTGCCTCAGCCTCTCAAGTAGCTGGGACTACAGGCGCCCGCCACCACGCCCCGGCTAATTTTTTGTATTTTTAGTAGAGGCGGGGTTTCACCGTGTTAGCCAGGAAGGTCTCAATCTCCTGACCTCAGGATCCGCCCACCTCGGCCTCCCAAAGTGCTGGGATTACAGGCTTGAGCCACCGCGCCCGGCCCATTATTTTCTTTAGCATGGGTCTGTTGGCAAGCTCTCTTACTTTTGGTTCATCTGAAAATGTATTTTTTAGGTATTCTTGAAATAGTTTGGTTTATTATAACATTTAGTTTGATAGTCTAGATGTGGATTTCCTTTTATTCACTGATCTTCTTGAAACCATATTTGGTGTTTTTCATTAGTTCTGGAAACTTCTCAGTCACTGTCTACTTATTGGCTTTGCCTAATGATTTCTTTTTCCTTCCAGAACCCTGACTAGGTGTATATCGGAAGTTAGTCTATCCTCATATTTTTAAATCTCTCATTCATGTTGTCTACCTATTTATCTGTGCTACATCTGGACAATTCTTTCTTTAGCTGTATCTAATCTTCCACAAAACCCATACATTGGGATTTTCCTTTCAATTCTTACATTTTTCATTAATAGACATTCTGTTTGTGTTATTTATATGTGTTTTTTTAATAGTTTCTTGTTCTCCATACATATTTTCAAGCTTGTCTTTTATTTCATTAAATTTATTAAACACAGTAATTTTATATCGGTGTCTGATACTTCTCATAATTGAAATCTTTGTGACTCTACTTCTGCTGAATCTATATATCTGCTTCTGTATCTGCTTCTGTATCTGTATCTGTATCTGTATCTGTAGTCATATCCACACACATTCTAGTTTTCACTCATGGTGCCTTATTTCCTTGTTGTTTGTTGATTCACTCTGATTGCCAGATGCCATTTGTCCTGAAACTGTATTTGTTAATATATTCCGAGGCCCGGGATGAAGAAGGATTTTTTTCCAGAGCAGATTTGTGTTTGTTTCTGAAAGGTGTTAGTAAGGTACCTCCTTAAATCTTTGGCTTGAGATTATTTTTTAGTCCAGCAAGGTGGTTTGAATTCTGGCTACTAATTGGTATAAAGGCAGCTGTGGTTAAACTCTTCATTGTTTGCTTTCTTTTTTCTCCCTCTACCATTCGGACTGAAGGCTGCAAACAGGCACTTTCCTGGCAGTCCTTTGTGTATCTCTGTGGGTGGGCAAGTCCCTTCTAATTTGCTATTATTCTGAGGAGTCCCAGTGCTATGGGGTGAAGGCCTCTTACTGGAACCCCACCTTGGCTTGACCCCAGGTATTGACTACTGTATTCCGTGCCTCAAAAAATGATAAAAATTGAAGCACGCTACATAGGTTGGCTAATACCTCCTTAGCAAAAACCAGTCTCAGTACCACAGTTATTCCTCTGCGTTCATGACTTCATCTAAATTTTAGCCAGAGGATTTCTTACTCTTTTGTTAATGCTTTTTTAAAAACCGACAATATATTTTATCCAACAAAACTGACAATATATTTTATCCCACATTTTTTGCTGTTTTCAATGGGAACATATTCTGGGTACCCAGTGTGCCATGTTACTCTAAACAGAAGCCACTCATTCATTTTTAGAACAAACATTTATTAATGACCTTCGAAGTGTCAGAACCCATTCTGAGGGCTGAGACATGAAGATGAAATAACCCACAGCTCCCATCTCGAAGACGTCATGACAAGGTAGGGGAGAGAGACATGAGGACAGGCAACAGAGGAGTAAGAAAAGTGCTGCAAACATTCCCAGAGTGCTTCATTGGAGCCATGAGGTACTTGAAGAGGCAACTAACCCATTTGGCAGTTCAGACAAGACTTTCCAATTAAGTGCCGAAAAACAAGGATCAGTTAGGCAGGCAAAAAGAGGGAGCAAACAGTGGTTTTGGGAGGAATTAGGTGACATGCTGAAAGCCTGGGGGTAGAAAAGAATGTTTGTGGCCGGGCGGGCTCACGCCTGTAATCCTAGCACTTTGGGAGGCCGAGGTGGGTGGATCACGAGGTCAGGAGTTCGAGACCAGCCTGACCAACGTGGTGAAACCCCGTCTCTACTAAAAATACAAAAATTAACCAGGCGTGGTGGCGCGCGCCTGTAATCCCAGCTACTCGGGAGGCTGAGGCAGGACCCAGGAGGTGGAGGTTGCAGTGAGCTGATATCGTGCCACTGCACTCCAGCCTGGGTGACAGAGTGAGACTCTGTCTCAAAAAAAAAAAAATTTTTTTTTCTTTAACAAATTATTAGAATTGATATATGGAAAGGATTCTGTTTAACTTACCTATGAAAATACCATCCTGGCCAACAATGTTGAAACCCCATCTCTACTAAATATACAAAATTAGCCGGGCATGGTGGCGGCGCCTGCAGTCCCAGCTACTCGGGAGGCTGAGGTAGGAGAATAGCGTGAACCCGGGAGGCAGAGCTTGCAGTGAGCCGAGATCGCGCCACTGCACTCCAGCCTGGGCGACAGATCAAGACTTCGGCTGCAACTCAAAAAAAAAAGTTTGTGCAACAATAATTTATACACGACTCGAGCTTAGAGGGTGAAGGGCAGGGTAGGTGGGGAGAGATGACGACGGAGAGACAGGCAGGGAGGATGTTGGGGGCGTTGCCGGGATTCTCTGGTAAAATGGCCGTGTCTCCGGTTGATTGAAGCCCTCCAAGAGTATGTTTTGGGGGGCAATGATAGGAACAGTTGGTCTCTGTGGAGTGCTTTTGCTATGTCGAGGTGATTTGGAGAAGAGCATACCATCACATAAAGGCGGGGCGTTTGGGGAGATGCGCAGGGCAGGAGTGGCTGGAGAAGTCGGAATAGAGGGGACTATAGAGGGGATGGGTGGACAAGGCGCCGCTGAAGGGCCTTTGTGGAAAAAGAGTGTGTTCCCCAGGACCATCTGGAAGAACGCCGCTTCAAGCACAGGACGGCACCTTCAGTACCAACGTTTGCCCCCGACGGGGCTGGGGAAATGGCATGTTGGGGCCTTGCAGGAAGGAGGATCATCCAAAACACAGGCTCTTTCTAGGCTCCAGACTCAAAAAGAAAGCAGAGGCGGGAGTGGGAAGGCCCAGGCCTAAGCCCTGATGAGTCTGGCGGGGATTCCACCGTGTGAAGGAGCAGCTGAGGCTGCAGGAAGTAGAGCCCCGGGGGCTGTGGAGATTCCAGGCTGCGCTGGTGGAGAACAGGGAGGCCCAAAGGCCAACAACAGGGAAAACCACAGTGTGTCCGGAGTTGGTTCCTGCCAGTGGATTCGTGGTGGTGCTGACTTCAAGAACGGAGTCGCCGACCTTCCCGGTGAGTGTTACAGCTCTCAAAGATGGCACGGACCCAAAGAGTAAGCGGTAGCAAGATTTACTGTGAAGAGTGAAAGGCTTTCGAAGAGAACCCTAGCGGCTTACTGCCGCCGGTCGAGGTGGCCAGCTTTTATTTCCTTATTGTCCCCGCCCATGTTTGGTTTCTGTCCTATCAGAGTGCCCTTTCTTTCAATCCTCCCTGCGATTGGCTACTTTTAGAATCCTGCTGATTGGTGCGTTTTACAGAGCACTGATTGGTGTGTTTTAGTCTAATTAGTGTGTTTTATGCTGATTGGTGCGTTTTACAATCCTCTTGTAAGACAGGAAAGTTCCTGATTGGTGCATTTTACAATCCTCTTGTAAGACAGAAAAGTTCCCCAAGTCCCCACTCAACCCAGGAAGTCCAGCTGGCCTCACCTCTCAACAGAGCAGAGGGAGGGCAGCTGGGATGCGGGGGCAAGGCTGACTTCCAGGGTTCCACCTTGGCCAGCGAATGGAAGGTGAGGGGGGAAATAGCTGAGGGGAAGGGAGTCTAGATGGAGAGACAGCTCAGTGCTGGGCTTGTTGGGTTCAACCATTTTTGGAGCTTTGAGGGCACACCCACTACAGGGGAGGAGAAGATATTAAATTTAATTCTAAATTGTGGCAAGAACGTCACATGGAAACAGCCTCTGGTGACGCACCTGGCAATTGTGACTGTAGTGATCTCTTTTCCAGCCTACGTTCATGCCGGCTTCAGACTGAAGCTCATTCCTTTCTTGTCCCTGAGGTTTCTTCACGACAAGCAGTCCTTTAACTGCATGAATGCTTTTAAATCCTGGGTCATGCAAAGACTTCCTAAGATCCTGAGTAAAACATGAGGTTGCCCAGCACAACTCCGTGGCTGATTTTCAATAGTTTTCTCAGCTTTATTCTCAACTCAATTTTGTTATTCTAGTCAGCTGACCTATGGCATGACTATCACACCTCCATTATTTTAGAAATGGGATTTCCAACCTCAGCACGTCATTCATCTGAACAACTTCCACCATGGTTTCCTGTTCATACAAGCAGCCCTCCTCCACACCGCAATTCCACTCCTGTGCCAATTCTTCTTTTAGAGTCAGGAGCCCAGAAAGCTTCTACAATGCCAATTACAAGGCTCTTTGTGACAAGCATTCTAATCTACTCAAACAAAAAAATGCGTATTTATAGCATTCGTTCAACTAAAAAAGTATACTATATAAAGCCCAAGAATGTAAGTTTACGTGTAAAAAAACTGACACCAGCAATTTTACCTCCTCCTTATTTTCCTCCAGCTGCCCAGTTAGGAGGATTGTTTGTTTGGTCTATTCATCTTCCCAGTCTTCTCACTGAATTCTCCTCTGACTCTCCCAGGGGCCAAATCTCAATTCTTGTCTTCTGTTCACCCTTACTCCTTGGCTCTCTCCTCATCCTTACTCCTTTCTCTTCTGTTAAAGAAGCAGGCCCATGTGCAATTCCAGGGAGTATTATTGTTAGTACTACATTTTCTGTCACATTCTTCAGAGGCGCTAGACTCCTTGCAAAGCAAAACTGTGGGCACAAGGCAACCTAAGACCTAATCCCTTCAACAGGGTCTTGGTGCCCTGTGTGCGGTCGCCCCCGAAACCAAGTCAATGGTGCTTTCAAAGACTACAGCCAGCCTCTGTCTGCATCCCGGCCTGCGCCCCGGGGAAATAGTAAAGCAAAAGGTGCCTTACAATAAGGGGGTGAGGAAAAGCCTGCCAAGCGGGTGGCGTTCAGATGAGATTGCTTACTCTACATGCGCCCTCAATTTAAAGGGACGAGTGGCCCGCCAAGCCTTCTAAGTCATCGTGCCCATTTCTCAAGAGAGGGCTCTCTGTGGGCCGCACACCAGTGTGACCGTAGAGAATAAGGGTGGCGCCAGTCACGTCCTGAGAAAGCGACGAATGTGTCCTTGTGAATCGGTCAAGGTTTTCCCTTGCAGGTGGCCTGACTCAAGGGCTTCGCAGGGACACAGGGACATAAGAAAAAACTTTCAAAAGTTTTACCATCAGGGAAAAAGCACATCAGGACCCGCCGGTCATTGCAGGTCATGCCAGCGGAAGCTTAACCGAGGGAGCAGGGCGCACAGACACAGCTGTGCTCCAAGAGTTTAAAAAGCATTTTGGCAGATGTTCCTTGGTGATCAGTTGGAGTCTTTGGCACGAGGCTGGCATCTGGTGTGTTTCCTGTTCATTACTGATGAAATTGTCTGACGTGTCTGTGTCTCATCCGAATACAACAGAAAAAAATGCCTGGGAATAAACACCCTAATCTAACCCTTGGAGCAATGTGTAGGTACTGTTTATCTTTGAAATAAATATTCAGGTCACATAAACTGCAGTTCAATGTACAAAGCAGAATTTAATATGAGGACATATAAGGTTTAAATATCATTGCATAGTAGTGACTTTTTAGGTAATCACAATTTTATATGCCTGTTACATTTGTGGTAGGAGTTTAGCTAGATTTTGCTGGAAAACTACAGCTTATTTATAAAGTACACACATTATTTTAATCGTACAAAAATGTGTAAAATATCTTACTCACCATGTAACATGGGCACCCCAAAGTACATGAGTTTCTTAAGAAGACATATGAAATCTTCAAGGCTATAAAGAGGACAGGAAATGACTCACTTCCCAATGACTCCAGGTAGATTAAATACGCCCCCCCTTTTTTTTAAGACAGTGTCTCACTCTGTCATCCAGGCTGGAGTGCAGTGGCACGATGTTGGCCCATTGCAACCTCCACCTCCTGGGTTCAACCAATTCTCCTGCCTCAGCCTCCTCAGTAGCTGGGATTCCTGGTGCATGCCACCATGCCTAGCTAATTTTTGTATTTTTAGTAGAGACTGGGTTTCACCATGTTGGCCAGGCTGGTCTCAAACTCCTGACCTCAAGTGATCCACCCGCCTCAGTCTCCCGAAGTGCTGGATTACAGGCGTGAACCACCGTGCCTTGACTAAATACACATTCTTAATTTAGCAACAGGAAACAATAGAGGAAAATAATGACACATACTCACTGAACACACACCAGTTCCAGGCAATGTGCTAAGAGGTTTACGTTAATTAGCTCAGTTGACCCTCTTAGGAGCCCTGTGACATAGGTACTTTATCCCCATTTTATAGATGAGAGACCTGAGGTTTCAGGTTGAAGTTACCTGTCTAAAATCTCCAGAGTGAGAAAGCAGCCATATTCCAGAGAGCCTGCGTTATGCTGACAGAGAAATATGGATACATGAGAAAATTTATGCAGCACCTTAAATATGTGCCTTTCTAATTGGAAATTCTGAGTGTTTCACAAGTACAAGTACTTTCCTACTTCTTCAAAAATATTAATTTTTTTGGAATAATGATAAAAGCTCAAACCTGTTCTGCTGGACAGGAGAAAGGGCAGCCGGGGGGCGCACAGAGGGAAAGCCTCCCTTTCTGTCTGTACTCCCTGTGGTTAAAATGTTACTATTTGGCCACACTGGCCTCCAGACATAACTGTGGCCAGGCACAGAACGGGGTTTCACACTAGGGTAAACCCTCAGATCTTCAAGGTCTATTCCCAGGTCTTTCCAGGCAGGTCTGGGGCTTGGAGTGTGGGAGCTACTGCTCTGTGGGCTGCTGCCTAGACGGCAAGCTCCTGGTTTTTGTTCGTTTGTTTTGTGTTTTTTTGGCGGAATTTTGCTCTGTTGCCCAGGCTGGAGTGTAGTGGCGTGATCTTGGCTCACTGCAACCTCCGCCTCCCGGGTTCAGGCGATTCTCCTGCCTCAGCCTCCCAAGTAGCTGGGATTACAGGCGTCCACCACCATGCCTTGTTAGTTTTTGTATTTTTAGTAGAGATGGGGTTTCGCCATGTTGGCCAGGCTAGTCTCGAACTCCTGGCCTCAAGTGAGGCCAGGCCTCCCAAAGTGCCTGGGATTACAGGCGTGAGCCACCATGCCTGGCCTGAACGTCTTATTATTTAAAAGTGTGTTGGGGTGGTGGTGGGGCCTTATTCCTAATACTTAAAATCATACACTGATGGCCAAAATCACACTACCAAGTATGACTTAGGAATTGAGAACTCAAGAAGATAACTTCAAGTACTTCTCCCCTTCCTAGGTAGAGGAGAAAACCAAACATCATATATAGGGAGATAGGATTCTAAGTCATGGTACAAACCTCCCCAGAGGAATTGTGAGAATCAGCTTTTCTTAAAGATCCTCACTTCCCCGTTTGCTAGTGTTTCTGAGTGATAACCAAGACCATCATTCCCAGGAGAGCACACGCAGTAAAGTCATCGACATCATCATTGCAGTTTCTCACTAGACGCCTTGTGCTGAGTGATGCACATTCAATCTATACTGTGCACCTCTTGATTACTGAAAAGTGGTTAAAGCTAGATTACAATAGTGCCCCCTTATTCACATTTCCCTTTCTGAAGTTTCGGTTACCTAAGGTCAACTATGTTAGAAAAATATTAAATGGACAGTTCCAGAAATAAACCTTTCTTAAGTTTTAAATTTCAAGCTATTCTGAGTAGTGTGATGAAATCTTGTGCCTTTCCGCCTGGGACATGAGTCATCCCTCTGTCCAGCATATCCTTGCTGTAGACACCTCCCCGGCCCCCAGCAGTCACTTGGCAGCCGTCTTAGTTATCAGATTAACTTCCTGTGTTCAAGTCATCCTTATTTTACTTATAATGGACCCAAAGCGCAAGAGCAGTGATGCTTGCAATTCAGACGGGACAAAGAGAATTGTAAGTGCTGCCTTTAAGTGAAAAAGTGAAAGCTTATCATAGGTACAAATATATAAGAAAAAACATTGCCGGGGTGTGGTGGCTCATGCTTGTAATTCCAGCACTTTGGGAGGCCGAGGCGGGTGGATCACTTGAGGACAGGAGTTCGAGACCAGCCTGGCCAACATGGTGAAACCCTGTCTCTACTAAAAATACAAAAAATTAGCTGGGCGTGGTGGCACATGCCTGTAATCCCAGCTATTTGGGGGTCTGAGGCAGGAGAATTGCTTGAATTCGGGAGGTGGAGGTTGCAGTGAGCCGAGATTGCACCAGCAGTGAGACTCTGTCTCAAAATAGAAAAAAGAAAAAACATAACGTAATCAGGTTCTGTGCTATCTATGGTTTCAGTCATCCACTGGGAGTCTGAAAATGTATCCCCTATATATAAGAAGGGGCCACTGTATTTCAATTCTCTCAGTCCTAATCTAAGTCTATACTTTTCAAAGATTTATCAATGAAAGCAAGTCAAGATCAATTGATTTTTGTTGTTGTTAAAACAACTGTAGGACTCCCACTAGAAGCCCGAAAACTTTTTAAGGCAAAAATTGTGAGACACGTATTTGGTAGTGTGCTTTTTTAGTATTCTGTAAGTAATTTCAAATATTAGCAGTAAGATGGTTTTTAAATTTTGTTTTAGAGAACAGGCATTTGTATTCCCTAGTAATTATTGTTATGAATGATTTTTGGGTTAAATAAACAAAAGTTTGTGGTCTAAGCCTCAATTTAGATGTGATATAGTGTTCTAATAGTAGAAATTTCAGTTATGTTTAGATAGCCGCTACACCATTTGGAGAAACCCACGTTGGATGTAAGTTGGATTTTAAAGTGCACAGGCCCAGCAGAGTCACAGTTGTGTGATGAAAGCATTAGTATGAATGCCTCCACTAGGACTAAATAAATTGTCAGTCGACAGAACATTGAATAGAGTGAAATAAGAACCCCCCTGATTACTATGCCAGGTCATATAATCCATAGGGAACTAAGTTCTGCGGGAAGAGAATCAGATAATGCTAGCTTCAAATAAACTGAAATCCCACAAAATTCAATGGTAAATGAAGTTACTAGGGAAAAAAGAAAAAAAAAACCCTAGTTATTTCAGCATCATTGATACCAAGTGGAAATCTCCAATCCATAATCCATATCCCTTGAAAAGGAGATTTGTAGTAGGTAGGGATCAAATAATTAGTTGACCCAAATAGTCCTTCAAATACCTGATAACGTGAACATTATCACTGCCAGTCAAAGGGAGAAAAAACACTCGTCTTACTACACTCAGAATGTTCTAAATCTTCAGTACGCTATAGCTTTCTCATCAATGTGTACAGTGGTGTAAAATGATTTTCCAGAGGTCAACTCTTGATAAAATGTTCTACTGCTATGAGTCATTAAGTAGGTGAATGATGATTTATGAATGGAACTTACACGTTGGATACCAAGAAGACTAAAACTCACATCTCGTAGATAGTACCTTATGTCTTGATAGAAAAAAGATATAGATTAGCATCACTTCCTAGTCACTAAAATAGTTTGTAATCTTAAGTAATGAAATACGTGACATTTGTCATATTGTTCTATACAGTAATAGGGAACAATCCCAGCTTTACAACTATATTCAACTTTGGTGCAGTCACCTCTGATGCTACCTTTCCACAGAGTGGCGGGGGTCCTGCTGTCCCATTCCCCAGCTCTGGCACGAAGGGAATGGATTCCAAATGCATCTGAAATGTTCAGTCTGCTGCTAAGCCCTGAGCGGCTGCCTCCAGCTATGAGCAGCCTCATCAGTTGACCCCAGTCACCCATTCAAATATGATTCTGCAAGTGTACCATGATTGGAAAACCTCTGGGAAGCCCTCTTGTGGGGAGCCCACCTGACCCCGAGTTTTGGCAGGAGCCAGGCCTCTCAATGTACCCCTTTCTTCTCCTTACCTTTCTCCTTTGTGGAGAAAAAAGAATGGATATGGCATTTGGCAGGGTCATACAATGATGGAGGGAATTTTGTCAGTTGTGCAAGAGTTTGCGGAAAGCATGAAGATGAATGGACTTGGGACCAGAGGTGGGAATGTGGGTGTGGCCATCGCAGTAATTGACAGGAAGTGACGGAAGTTCAGGCAGGCCCATCACTCACTCAGATGCTATTTATCAGGCACCTCTCCCAGGCCAAGCACATTTGAGAAACGGGAAGAGCGAGCTCCCACTTCACCCTTCTGAGGCCGGACACTTTCTGTGTGACCTCCAAAATAGTGGAATTCCAAAAGACACATTTTTGGAAAGGTGCCTTTTTTTTTGAGACGGAGTCTCGCTCTGTCTCCCAGGCTGGAGTGCAGTGGCACGATCTCGACTCACTGCAACCTCTGCCTCCCAGGTTCAAGCGATTCACCTGCCTCAGCCTCCCGAGTAGCTGGGATTACAGGTGCCCACCACTACGCTCAGCTAATTTTTGTATTTTTAGTAGAGACGGGGTTTCACCATCTTGGCCAGGCTGATGTTGAATTCCTGACCTCGTGATCCACCCACCTCGGCCTCCCAAAGTGCTGGGATTACAGGCATGAGCCACCGCGCCTGGCCTGGAAAGGTGCCTTTTTGTTTGCAGTGTTTTTTCTTTCTTTTAGCAAATACCGCCTGAAACAGTTATAAAGTGCGGAGGTGTTAGTACAGTAGAGAGCCACAAGTTAATGAATCCAGAGCCCAGGAAGAAAACCATGCCTTTCCGTGTAGAAGGTTCTGCTGAGAGGATGCCAACTCTCAGCATGTGGCAAGGGTTTGACACAGGAGATTCTATTCCCAATCTGTCAACCACGTATACGAACTTATGGATATCATTTCCCGATATATCTCTCTGGGCATCTGATTTCTCATCTGTAATCAACAGAGTGTTAGTTCTTATGATCAACAAAACTGCTTTCACTTCTAAGGGCTTTTGATCAATTTTTAATATTCTACATCGTTTAATTTTTGATGCTTACAAAAAGATCCTGGGTTATCTCTCAGATATGGAAACTGGACTAAACCATTTTCTATACCCTGCCTCTCCCACAATAACTTAATATAGATATATGCTTAAAGTGAATATCAATTAATCTTCCGTCTTGAAGATTAAAATATGAGTAAGGAGTACAGTTTCACTTTTGCAGATGGAAGAGCTGACGATGGGACAGCCAGCGCTGGCACGGCCTTGATAACATGCACGAACCAGGCTCTGGTGCACTTTAGAACCTGTGAGCGACTTGCTGCCTTCACCGGCCTTCCAGCCAGCCAACTGGCTTCGACACCAATATCAGGGCTAAGTCTATCAGTTGACTTGACAATTCTCTAGGGACAGGTAGGAAACAGGATATAGTGGCATTTATTCACTCAACAAATATTTATTGAGCACTTCCATTCCAATTGCAATTAAACATTAGCGATAGGAAACTCAAGGAAAAACACCATGGCGCTCCCACCTTCAAGGGTACTCTGTATACTTTCACACCAACGAAAGGACAAACAGTCTGAAGGAAGAGGAATGTTATCCTAAATTTATATAGACTGCAGAGATTAAGTGCAAAGCTACTATTTTTAGATAAAATCCTTCTCAGACAAGACCATAGTAAAAGGATTAAAGGACAGTGGTTGAATTTCAATGTTAAATGGTATCTCATGGGAATATGAAAGACTTTGAGACTGGCAATGGCTTTAGTACTAGGACTATGAGGATTGTACCCTTAGGGATACATCACACTAGGACTTGGCTTTGGATCCAAAGAAAGCGCCCAGGAAAGCCTAAAGGGAGAGGTACCAGGGCTGGAGAAAAGTCTTTCTCAGCAGCAGCCAAAGATGGGTGAAAATAAATGGTAATTCCTCCTGGGAACCCAACAGCCAAAACATAGTGGCTTTCAAAAAATATTTTTGGGAAGTCATAAATCAATATGATATCAAGGAATAAGATTACTTCAAATATGACTATACCAAGAAGCAAGACTTTCTACTAAAGTTTAGCCATCATTCTGAAATGAACATACTGTGAAACATTTAGCTCCTGTCTTCACAGAAAAGAATCATTTACTCGATGTTCTGCATAAAACTGGGGCTTGGAATTCTGCTGTATAATCCTCATACTACTTTTATATTCCATTTCTCTCTCTAACCTGGGACTGTGAGCTGTTTGAAGCAGGAATGGTATCTTCACTCTTGTCTACCCAGAGGCCAGGCATGGTATTCAGCCCAATCACTTTAGCACATAAATACTGCTTGAATGAATAAAATCACTTCGTTATTTTGAAAGTTCTTTGACTCGTATTTGGAATTTTAAAAAATCAGCATGAGTTCTAAATTGGATTTGTCTATTGAAACAATTGACAGTTCAGTCTCAAAATTCCTATATATTTTAAATCTACTTCCTTAATCATCAACCCCTATTAAATTTTCTGTGATATGAAATAACTTAGGTGAAATTTACTGTGTCCACAAAGTGGAAGCACATATACAATGGAAAAAAAATTAGCTTAACAACAACAAAAAACTTCACCAGAATGACCAGTGTTTAAAAAACAAAACAAAAAATAATCTGTAGTAGTTTGGGATGTTTCCTATGATGAAAGAAAACAGACAAAAAACTGACATGGCCAGCAGCCTTGCTAAAGATAACTTGTCTCCATAAGTACACATATGCCAATTCAACCTGGCATAATACACATGCAGAACTGAAATCTTCATTTGGTTAATGACCATAGAGTTTATAGCCCTACTGAAAAACACATACACTCCTCAGGAGCAGGTTCTGTTTTCCAGTGTGCTTTGCAATACACCAACCATTTAGATACTTGGATGCTTTTGACAGTCAGTCCCTAGTGCAACTGTGGAAAGCAAGCCTATATTGCTCTGAGAGAAAAAGAAAACAAAGAACAAAACAAAACAAAAATAGCACACTCATGTATACTTATCAAGTTATAGTTCTTGACTCGTGGCTTCTCACAAATATTTTACTTTTAAATTCCTTAGAGATGTTGAAGAGCGTAACTTAAAGAGAGGTGGGAGTAAAACACTTGGACATTTTGTCTAAGAGGCTAAAATTGTAGAATAAAAGATGTCTTCCGTTAAAATATCCTGGCTTTACTGTCTACCCAGACCACGTATTTGAAGCTTGCCGGTTACAATAGCAATTTCTGCCCAGCAGGTCACTAAGGGAGTATTTTTGAGAACATGTACTCAAGGTATGCTGATCCCCCTTGATTTCTCATTGTAAGAGATTCATCTATTCTATTACACCACTTTACCATATCTGACTAACATAAATTTGAGGCACAAGTTTGGTTTTCGTACATTTTGATATACACAGAAATACTGATTGCATCATTTAATTAACACCAATTAAGCACTCAGAAATTTGACGGTGGTGCTAATTCATCAATATGAGTAACCTGCAAGTGCAAAGCATGCGTGATGTCTGTTGGGGTGCTTTCTAGTGCTTTTTATCCCCCTAATATTTGATTTTTATAGCCATTGATATACAATAGGGTAACACAACAACCCTTTTCTATATGTGGCCTACAATTTTTTCCTCTGGTATTTCTGTATTTTAATTCCATTACAGAATTCTACAGTTTCTACTTTTAAGAAATATTCATGAGAAACAGGTAGTAATTCAAACTGAAAAGGAGTGGCACGAGAGCCTCCTGTGCATAAAACTCTTCAGGCATTCCTCACAGCCTGCTGAGGGCGCTCAGCAAGAAGGCTCATGTTGACACTATTACCAAATTCTTGGCAATCAACCTGCTGGAATAGATACAGATCTCACAGCAGGCATGACTTTTATCACCTTTGGCTTTAGAAGAATGACAAATGAAAAAATACTTAAGAAATGGGAGGGGGTGTGGTATCCAACTTCATTTTTCAAGTTCGTATTTAGACTAAATTTACATCTGTCTCTATTTTTCTTTTCCATTAGCTCTGTTCAATGCCGTTTTGAAGGCAGCAGTACTCCTCTTTGAACTGAGGGGAGAAAGTGGTAAGGAAAGCAGGAGCGTCCCAATATTTCCCTTAATAACATGAACTATTCCCAGTTCACTGCGTATGTACTTAAATGTGGGGTTCCATAGATAAAACTAAGGTGATCCACCCGCCTTGGCCGAGCCCTTGCACCTGGCTTACTTCTTTTAGATCGGGCTGGACACTCAGCTTTCTGGTTCAATAACTTTTCTTTGTTACATCCTCTCTAGGATGGAGCTAAGGATGGTGGTGGTGATTCTTTAGCAAATTGTAACAAGCATTTTAGAAAAACTGGGTCACACATTTTGCTGTGGTTTGGGTGGAGTCTGTCCCCAGGAAAACTCCTGTTGAAATTTGATCCCCAGTGTGGAAGTGTTGGGAGGTGGGGGCTGATAGAAAGTGCGTGGGTTACTGAGGCGGATCCCTCATGAATAGGTTAACGGCCGCCCTCGGGATGGGGCGTTTTCCCTCTTGCAGGGATGCATGAGTTCCTAGGAGACTGGGTTGAGTCTGGCCTCCTCTTGCTTTCTCTTGCCTTGTGATCTCTGTGCACCTGGTCCACACTCCCCTTTGGCTTTACACCATGAGTTAAAGCAGCATGAGGCTGTCACCAGATGCAGCTGCCCAATCTTGAACTTTCCAGCCACCAGAAATGTGGGCCAAATAAACCTTTTTTCATCATTACCCAGCCTCAGGCGTTCTGCTATAGCAACACTAAACGCACTAACACACTTCTCTGAAGAATTCAAGGTATTCACACGGCCGTCTGGGTATTTATTAGCTTAATGGGACGTACATTATTGGTGCTGTCCACATCAGTGATGTTTTCCTTGTAGAGTACAAAATTTCTCTGCCAAATAGGCTCATATGGAATTCAGTGAAAGGGACATAAAGTCAAGCTAACACTACATTTTTTCTTTCATTTCTCTCCATACCGGGTTGCTTTAATCCTAAGAGTAACGGGAGGTTTCTAATTCATTTTAGACTCAACACCAATACTTACTGATGACAGACCACTTCTGGAAGTGATATCAAACTTTTCCACTTTATTTCATTTAAAACCAACTTTACTGCTAGTAGCCCCCGAACTGATGCCTGAATGATGTTCTGGATGAGGCATATGTATGTTTGATTTGCTAATCTAGCTTTTTTCCCTGAGACTCACATTTAACTCTTAGTTTCAGGACTTGCATTGCGTTCCGCTCATGAGCTTTAAAGTTTTACATTTTCCCGCCACCTAGGAATCTAGAAATCTAGAGTCAGTTTAAATTCTGGACAACTTTTTAATGCTGTTTTACCTCAGTGAGAAAGCAATGAACAAAAGCATATTAACATATTATCATTTAATTAAAATGTATTCAAACCAACTTTCAACTTGTACTACCAGTATGTCTTAATTTTATAAATCAATCATTGAAAACAATGAATGTAATAAGGGAAGCACTAAAATTCAGGTTTCAAGCACAGCCAAGGCACTTTCCTCATTCCCAAGCTTGACAGTTCTAAGGTAAAGGAGTGAACATAAAATCTTTAGTATCAACTCAAATAGTTCTGCAAGAATTGTGGATTCACTTGCAAATATTTTCTTCTCCTTTTGCTCTTCATCATTTTTCTTGTAATAACCTTTATATTAATATCCAGTTAAGTAACCAATGAACATAGTATAGCATACTTTAAAACAGACTACAGTAGATTTTCATCCCAATTTTAGGAGACACTCCTTAAAATTGGAACTGTTGTGTAGCATGTAAAAATAAGCGCTTTCAGAGGGTATACAGTTCACAAAATAGCATTAAACTGGAATAATCTAATTTTAATAAACATTTTTTGGGGAAGATATGATGCCAAACTTACCATGACTATTATTTTAGACATATGTATAGTACAACTATTAGATGGTCAATTAGTTTAACTGCTTTCTAAAGACCACAAATTACTGTATAAAAGGGGTAATCATTAAAAATTACGTTAGGAAGGAAATCCAAATGTCTAGTGCTTCCATTCACTTAAGCACTTCTGTAAACATAAGAACACAATGTGCATGAGTAACAGTGACTAAAATATTCATCTGATTTTTCAGGAGGAAAAACATCAAAACTGATTTTATGTCACCCCTTTTGAGAAGCTGGTTTGAAAGTCAGATCACCATCCTGGACCAGGAAACAAGCACAGATATCCACAGGAGCCAGAGAGCCGGGGGGAAGGATTAAAGCAAGAGAAGAGTAAGAAAATCAACAGCCCAAGTGTGACACTAGAGACAGGAAGGAGTGGTGGGGTGGCGACTAACCAGGGAATACTTGGCTTCAGGGGACCGTTTAATTACTCAGTTTCAGCTGGTGCCTACTATGTTAAGAATACATGTTTGGGCTTTCTAGACACTTTGATCTTTCAGGAAGAGCAGATTTTGTGAAGAATTAAAAAAAAAATCTAATATGGGCAATCAGACTTTTTTTTTTTTAAGTCTAGTGTTGCCACTTTTAAATTATGGCAAGTAGTTTAAAAAGCAAAACACCGTATAAGCCAAACCAAACACACCTTTGGGCTGCTAGTCTGCACGACGGTGCTATGGATCCTGCAACTGTGGGCTACTTTAACAAAGCATTCTGTTGAGGAAAACTAAGGTTCCGGTGAGCAAGAGGAAAGGAGCCAGAGGTACTTGGAGATGATATAAATAAGAAAGACTGGAAAACTTAAGGTACAAGGAGTCATAACATTTAGATGTTAAAGACTCGTAAAGGTTTCACACTACTGGAAATGATTTTTTTAATAAACCAATTCTGTTCAACAGGTTAATGACACTAGTCCTTTTCATGAAGCTGATGAAATCAAGTTTTGGTCAGCATTCCTTTCTTCTTACATTCGAAAACTACATAAAAACTGTACCATTTATTAAAGATAAAAAAATGTTTTGGATGCACAGTCCAACTATGGAACACTGTAGCAGTCTGTTTACTAATCTCCCTTAATGGCTAAAATCAGAGTGAATGTTATGCTCATTTTCTAATGTTATAATAACTCCAGAATGTCAAATTCTTACATTTTCTTTTAAATAGTGTTGAAAGCCTCAATAAAATTGAAAGTGTGCGTTCTTTATTCTCATATTGATACATGCATTTTCTGGGGGTGGAGGATAAGCAGCACTTTCCAGCTGCAGTTGGCTTGAGAGGATGAAGCACATGCACTTTTTCCAGTTGGTTTATTGCATTTCATGTACGGTCATGCAGTTCTCCGTTCACATGTGACCTGTGAACACCTATTTCGACTATATATATATATATACACAATTTCCACAGTAAAATTTTAAATGTTTCATACATACCACTACAATATAAACCATAAAAGATATATTTGGTAATAAAAACTTAATAGCACTTTTAAGTTATAAATTAACTTTTACCCTGGAAGCTGAGATCTTCCCACAATGTGGTGTCTTTTGCCAAGAAGAGGCAACAACATTATAATGTGGAATCAACACTGTGGCTGCCCTTTGCTGCACCTATCGCCTCCTTCTACTATGAATTAATTCATTCGCCTTCTCCCCCACCCCCTGGCAATTAGTGCAGCAGAAACACAGAAACGAGAGGACTGTGCTGAGGTTAACCAGTTTGATTCCACATTGAAGGCACGAGTGCATATAATGTTGGTAAATCTCTTCATATCAAAGGCATCTCAATTTAGATCACTTAAACTACAGATAAAATTAGATGTGTAGCACATATTTCTAAAATATTGTCCATATTTTTTCCATTTTAAATAAAGGTATTAAGGAATTCGTGACAATGTAAAAAACTACTCTATGCACTTAGAAAAATTGTGAATTCGAAAAGTTGGAGAATAATTTTTGCTAAATAAATAATCATTTGGCAGTAAGTTCTATTCTACCTAAAATAATTTGCTTGAAATGCTGTAACAGCTACTTCTTATCAAGGAATAAAGACAGGCATCACATCCTGGTCAAACATGCAAAACCACTCCCACCCCACCCCATCCTAAAACTAAAGAAACCTTAGGCTGTCACACGTGAAAGTGTTATGACATATATATATACACACACGTATATATATGAAGAGTCTTGATTTGGTAGTGAGCAATTTCATTTAAACCTATCGTTTGCTTTTGGCACACTAAAAAATTCAGATCCTTATGTAGTGTTTAGAAAACCATAACCAGACACCGATTGTGTGTACGTATGCACATCCTGGTTTTATGGGCAGGGTGCCTTCGTGACCTCTTACACCTGGAGCTACTGCACTGGTGCGTATGGGAGTAACTACTTTCATGTTAAGTTTTCCCTGACATTTTGCCTAAAGGAAAAGTTTAAGGACATTAATTTCACCAACTTCTTGACTGAAAGCTCAGCTTTCAACTGTTTTGTCAAATAGTTTCAATCAATCAACTGACTCTAGAATTTTACTATTCTTGGAATTTGGTAGTTTCATGTTTAATATTGTAACCTGTATAAAAATGAAATCTGTAATGTTATTTTCGCCTTTTAAAACTTTTTTACATTTCCTACATAAAAGGCAGCAATGACATAATTATACATAAAGTACCCTTAACTGAAAATGAGATGAGGCTGCATTCATAGGCTTCAGAGAATAGTAAATTGCATAGAAATTCATCAATTTAAGTTACATGGTACCATGACAACTTGTATATTAGCAGCTTGACAGACAGCTTCGAATTTTCACAGACTACTACATGAACTGTTATGGCAACGGAAACTTTTACAAATAGTAGCATGTTAAAAGACCTGTCCACCTAACAGTACACTACCCACCGCTCCCATCAGAGACATGACACGGTTTGTTTACATGATCCAAATGACCATCTCAATGGTGATTCGCTGTTATCACTCACATCAGCTAACACTACTCTGTGTATTTATATGTGTGTATACATATTTATGAAATGAGAATACCTGGACAGTCTGATTGGTTAACAGCGTATTGGTACAGTTTTGTCTTCTATTACATGTCATTCATTTCAGCCCTCAATTTTAGAACTCTAAATAAATAAAATGTAATTTACAAAGATAAATTGTTATTTACAAATGCAAAAATTCATCCTGAGGATTTTGGTATCTAGGAGAACTGTTTCACAGAAAAAAGCAAGTATCAATCTGTGAAATAAAAATGCACCTTGAGTTAAACTAAATAATTCATAATTACAGGTTAATTTACCCAAGTTCCAGCCAAGAAAAGCATGAAGATATTTAAGAAATCTTAAATTGATTTGCATGCAAGAAATTAATCACATACAACTTTTCAAATCCCAATGTTATTCCCCCTTAAACTTCTTGTTTAATGTTTTAGTCTGACTGTATTTGTAAAGTAGGTGACAGAGAAAAAAATACCTGAGGAAAGCTCAGTAACGTGCTGAGGGTTCTTTTCCTCACTGGAAAGCAGCGGGGCTTCAGGCCACCATGAGAAACAGCCAGTGGGCCTTTGACTTTACCCAAGTTAAGCTCCCCTAATAGGAGTAGTTAGCTAAACAAGTTCAACGCTTTCCAAAGGAAAAAGGTCAAGTTAAAACAAAAATCTAAATAAAGGTAAAATATCAACAGTTTCTCTGCTTTACAATGTGACCATAAAATTACTTATTTACAGAAATTAAAAGAAATGGTTCAACAAAGAATCAAACTGGTTTCTCCAGGTATATACCATGACAATGTATCTTTTTACTCGATGCTGTGAGCAGACAGTGATTATTTTGGAGAAGGAAAAATAAGGTGTGGAATTAGTAATGCAGATGCTGAAAGGCAAGTGGCAAGAGAAGAATGCCTCAAACAAAGGCTACTTTGTTCCCATCTCTACTGCACCTACACCCACACCCGCCCCGGCCCCCAAGCTAAAAGACCAGAATAACCAAAGCCATTTTAACAGTAGTGTGCAAAACTGTCAGCTGACAAACAACATAAAAACAAGTCACACTATGTTATCTGTGGTCACGTTCTTCAGGGTTAGTCCAGTAACTCAAGACTTTACATTCTTTTGTCTTTATTTGTTTATTTTAATTAAACATATAAAGGTTAATAAACAGACAAAGTCCAGAGTTAGTAGGTTGGTATTATAACATTTATTAAAATAATGCTGTGGGTTAATAGAAACAGCAAAGAACCAAAGAATTAAAATGCAAGCTATGTAAAATCCCAACTAAAACCCAAAAGTGTCTAATGTATTCATTCATTAGCTAACTAAAAGCCCAAAAAAGACAAGACACCCAATATAATAAAGTACTGCAAAACAATTGGCAATTTTCAGTTATCAAAATTGTGGATTTTGCATTTTGTATCCTTTTCTCAATCAAGAAAAAAATTCTTTTTGAATGTTATATAACATACATATAAAACAAGATAGAAAAATACATTATAAACTTGTAACAATGGCTGTAAATACATTATCTTACATGTTTCTCATAGGCAATAGGTTGGTTATGGTACATACATAGCATGAAACTAAGATAATAAAGAATAGACAAAAATACATGTCAGCTGTACGATAACATACAAGCGACACTCCCATCTACCCACGCTAAAAAATTACATAATACTGTCAGAAAAAAAGTCTTAAAAACTACATATTTTAATAAGAAATAAATTCAATAAAGAATGATAATACTGAGAACCAAGGCATTCAGAGATTTCAAAAGTCATGCTTTTTTCAGTTGATCCAAAATTTTGTCAACCAAGTTTTCAAAAGTTTGTTCAGAGCCAACATTCCCTATAAATGTCACACATTTATTATTTCATACATTTACTTTCTTCCCCATAAAAGACCTTTGATAAACATCTAAAATGTCCAGGTATAACATAGTTGAGATGAAACTGGATCAAATACTGGTATTGTTTTTAACAACTATCACCTCAAGTGTTTGAGTGTCGCAAATTTATTCAACCAACCAAACAATATAAAAATCAAAATGGCACAGCATATATTGTAAATAAATCAAAACTGTATGTGTAACAGAAAGACAAAGCAGTGGCATATTAAACCAAAGCTAGCTGGATACAAAACAATGAATGTCTATTGCATAGTAAATAAACTGACAACGGTTTCCAAGTGAGACAAGATGGTGGGGGAGGTCACCAAGAAGGTAATGACTCAGCTTCCTGCTGACCTCTGACTGTGATGCTGGGAAGGTGTGGAAGAGGGGACGAGTTGATAAGCTGGGCGGGGGGGGGGGTCCACTGTCACTTGAGATTTGCCACGTCTGGTACTGAGCAGTTAATGATTATTCACTCAAGTGTTTAGATGTAGGCTTTGCACACAAATTGCTTCAACTACATAACTAACTGTTTCAACTTCTTGAGAAATTAGAAGCTTAAGCTGAAATGTGGTTGAGTATTTATATGCACTATGATGCTAGTTTTTCACATTCTTTTAAAGTTAAGGGGTGGGGGAGGCAGAGGTTATTGAAACAGTAAAAGGATACACTACACCAGTTATCTGGTATGATATAAAGACATGTGATTAAATTTGGGTGATTTAAAACATTGTTTTCTAGAATGAAAATCACAAAGATTCACTTTTGTGAAAACATTTGCTAGGTATCCTATTATATTCAATTAATTAAAAACAAAAAACAAAATCAAATGAATGCATCCCCCTTCTCCAAATAAAACAAAGCTCTAATTTTGTCTGTAAACTGAAGTTTAGATGACACATAATTTTTATCTCAGAATCCTTTGGGTTAACATTGAAGATTGGAATAACCAAAAGTATTAAACTATTCTTTTAAAGAATGATGTTTTAAAACTTACTAGTCAGGCATTAGAAAAGTTATCAAATCTTTTCACAGTATCAGATTTGGCAAATTTGCATCAAGGTAACGTGGCAAAAATCCTATAATTCAAACTATCAACTCATTTGTCTCCCTCATATCTTCTTTCACATACTGGGCGACTGAGTAACATGCATTAACTTGTATTCTGAGGGAGGAGCTGATCTTTATGAGACACTTGACTGAATGACCATGAAGGAAAATAAGGCACTTTCTTTTCTTTAGACTTATTCCAATACTTAAAAAATAAAAAAGAAAGACAAAAAGGCTCTTTTGGTCTTTTGTTTCTTGACAACCACCAGAAAAAATCATTTAATGAAATAAAGGGTTTCTTTGTTCTTTTTCTTTTTTTTTATAACACTTGAAAGTATAAAATGCTACATTTCCAAAAATATATATATTTTTTTCTGCACCAGCACCCTTGTATAGTAAAAGTATCTACTTTTTGTTCATTTGTTTCAATGCACTACACTTTATCTACAATTTCATTACATGTATACAGCAAATAGGCAAGCATGGCTTTTACATCCTTAATGATTTTTTTCTATACAGGGAGGTTTAAAAAAAAATACTTGAACAGTTTGCCCAGTAATGTGACACATAATGCATGTACCTTGTTCTCATATTTTTTTAGGTGTAAAATAAAGATTCAGTAATTTTAACTCAGATATTTATCTTTTTAAAAATAGTGTTGCAGTTTTGTTATTTGCATTACTTTTCAAAACTCCTTAAGTTTTTCTCTCATGGCACACTTTCTTCTAATACTTCAAATTTTGGCAGGCAATATAAAAAAGGCTGCAACTTCTGCCCTTTGAGGGCACTGTAGTGACTAAACAGCATATCAAATTTTGAATACTTTTTGAAATCACTTCACCAATGATATCCCTGACCGAAGGTTCATGCATGATGCATCATCACACAGTACATTCAGAGAGAGCTTTGACTTCGCTATGAGAAGAAAAAGATTCCTAGAAGTCTCTCACAGTAACTGCCTCTGTCATTGAGTAGTTAAGGACCATCTGTCTCCCCTTCTTAAGAGAGGCCTTCTTACCGTTCGCTTAGGGTGGGATATTAAAAGATGATCAGTGCTGTGGGATGAATTGGGCCTTATTGCTTTACTACTATTCAGTGCAGTTTCTAGAACCACTTTCACCCAAACAGGAAAAAAAAAAAAAAAAAGCTGAGTTGGAGGACAACAATTTCTTTGTCTTTTGTTTGGTTAGATGGTAAGACGAACGGACAAGTGCCTCAGCTCGCTGCACTGACGACAGGCAAGCAAAGGCGATTACCAGTTAACTGATCAGCAGGCAGGCATGGTCAGGTCATCATTGGGTGAAGAGTTCAGAGGTCAGAAGGTCATAGGTTAGTTGCCGGTGGCGGCTGGGTGGTTAGAAACAAAAAAAAACAAAACAAAAAAAAGAAAAGAAAAGATAGAGAAGAGATTAGTTTCAGCTAGTGACGGCTTAATGACAACATGAAAAACTAATCACAACTAATAAAAAAAAAAGCATGTTTAATTCTGACAAACTGATTGACACCATCTACAGAATACAATTAAAATCATGACAATTTCGTATCATGATTTGAACAAATGAAGAAGAGCCCACTCCCACAAAAAAAAAAAAAAAACTGGTTAACAAGAAAAAATAGAAATAAAATACAACTAACAACTAATAGTTAGTAGCAGTCAATGAAGGAAATTGAAAAACAACAATGAATAGGTTTGGTATACAGAATTTTTAAACAGTCAGTGCAGTTATCAGTATCTGACTGCTATTAAGCATTAGTATTCTCTAAGATGCAAGCATTAAAGCAACTATTAATGATGGATGTGATTATTAATAACTGATGATTAACAGAAATGAATCTAAAGAAATTCAAAATTCTATGAACCATTTGGTTCAACATAAACTCTGGGCCAAACAAGGTTTCTTTTGTTCAATAAATGTTTATTGCTTTTTCAATTATTCTATTTACAAACAACATGGAATTTCTTGGCCTCATGATACAAAGCGATACTAAACTGTAGTCTAGCAGTGTAGGCAACATCATGGGAACCAGAAAATGGCCAGGCCTTTTGCACTAGCCAACACTTTCCAGTTGAAAATACTATTTTACACATATAGAACACTTATAAAATGCACTTGCATGTAAACACTGTAAAATCCTGCCATTTAAAATTCTACACTCAAAAAGCTCTAAGTACATCAAAAAATAGAAGAAATTTCTAATTGATACCAATAAGGCATTTTAAAACTACAAACAGCTTTCTTTATTCAATTTCAAAGCTAATACTCTGCAAATACAATAAAATCTGACATTTCATATACATTCCTGCTTTATATTTTTATATTTTAAAAGAAGCCACCTGTAAATACTATTTTCTTTTGCAAAATAACAAAAAGGACAAAAAAACTTTAAAAATTACAGTAAAACATAAAGTAGTTCTCAAGTGGAAAAGTTATCATTCCCAATGTCCTTGAGTTGTTCCTTCCTTAATCAACCTTTGTCACATTCTGCTTCACCAAACTTGGTCCACTTAACAGTAGTATAATTTTTAAGACTCATTCAACAGCTTAATTATTTCTACTATATTCTGAGGTTTGATAGAATTTTCTGTACTGTTGCCATTGTGACTAAGGCAGAGGAGATGTGAATGAAAAGATATTCAGTGCAAAGTTAGATTCTGTGCCACTTCATAAATCAAAGCCCAGAAGGTGTAATGTTCAGTTTAAATGATCCAAAATAATGGACTGATTTACCTTCATATGACAAAAATGTTTTCTATAGTCTATCATTTAGAACAGTTTATAAATACTACAAAAATACTGTATCTTCAATGTGACCAAATCTTCCCTGAATTTCTTAAAAGTGGAATTTTATTTAAAATAAAAATTGCTGCTCCAAAATCATAGAAGAAAATAAATATTTAACATGATGTAGTCATACTACTTCACAGGTATTCCAAAATATAGAATCTTAAAGCATTTTTGATGTTACTCATAGTTTTGATTAAAACTGTTTAAAGTTTCTTATACAAATTATGTAAGTGATGGTTTTTGTATTACTCAGAAAAAACTCTGACTTCTTTTCTGAGTGTGGAATATATAAACGAAGTGAGTGACCATTTATATATACCAGGACACCTAGACTACATCCTCTGCCAAGTCTTGGCCTCCTACACAGGTGTGTCACCATGCAAGACCATACAGTTCATTACAACTAAAAGGTCAGTTGGTCTCTAATAGGCTTCAAATTCAGTTTTGAAATATATATAAAGAGGTGAGTTTACTTTTAGTAAAGAACTAGATATTGGTCAACCATGTAGTACTCTAAACGTTCATATAGAATTACATGGTTATATGTCCAAGGGCTGAGTTTTTTTGCATTAAATGAATGCTTATACTAATAAACTTCTCTTCAAAATATTTTTTTAAAATAATTTTAACCTCAAAAATAGAGAAAACAGTAGTATCATAAAATAATTTAAGTGAAGGACTTCAGACATCTCCCTTAGACCCAATGAGTGCATACAGTGATAAGTATACGAGTACTCTGTTACTAAAAAAGAAATGAGCATTTCGGTTTGCTGACACTGCATTTTAAATAAAAACAGTGACAGGACTAATCAAAACACGTAACTACAAAAGATCCATGCATGGAATGTGTCGTAATTTTCCAAATACAATAAAATCTTCCTAAAATATGTCCAACTATCTCAAGGCACTGGAGTATTAAGTAGGCCAATAATTATTGTGTTAAAGCAAAATGGTGAGAAATCTCCTAAAAGGGGGCATACATAGGGAAAGATTAGCTGGGGGAAAAAAACTACTTTAAAATACTCTTTAGAACAATTGTAGACATTAGCAATATGAATAAAACCTCAAATTATTCATGGAATTGTCCAGTTTCTTTAAAACTCAAGTGACTTTCCAAAAAACTTCCCCATCCCTATGAGACGTGCTCATACAGAACACTTACAAGGAATACCATCCTCATAGACGACCACGGAGCTGGGGTCTATTTTGTTCACTGAACAATCACTGTTAGTGATGAATACATTAGTTTAAAAGTCTTCAACGTTCTTTATGGATTATGCTAAACAAATATTAACAATGTCTTTGGGAAAGGCATGTTATTTCTGATGTGGACAACAGCTGTGTCTAGTATTTATCATCAGTACTCAAGGTAATCACATAAAGCAGGTAGGTCCTTCATAAATTCATAGAAGATGTACAATTGAAGTACAAATCCAGCACTTTTTCCTCCACTAATATTTGAGACTTTGATCAATTTAATTTGTAGGAAACAAATGTGCCATAATAGAAACTTGTAAAAAATCCTTTTTTACTACCATGCTTGATATTCCTATCTTGTGATGGAAAAACTTAGAAAACAATTCAATGTCAATAAACCGAAAATACCATTCCTCAATAAGCAAAAATAATTTATAAAAGGGTCCAAGGGCATATACAGGACACAAATTATAAAAGTTGTAAAGGAGAAAAATGAAGACTTATTTTCCAGTCACAGGTTAGTCAAAAATTATATTCACACAGCTGGATCTCATACCACCACAGAACTTCAAGAGACAGTTTACCTTCAGATAATATATTTTAGCAGCAAATGACAAAAATCAAAGGATCCATTTTGGCAAGAGAATGTAAGAATAAAAGGGAATTGACGCTCTAATTTATATAAAAAAATCCAACTACATGAAAGTTATCTTCACAGTCCTCACTTTGTTGATTTTAGCTAAGTACTTGACATGTGCACCCTCATGTTTATACAGTGGCTCAAATATTTTATTATAAAGAAAAATGGAAACTAAATCTTCAGTTTTCTCCAAAAGTACACAGGAGGCATATATTCCTTTACTTCTCTCATTAAAGCACCATCCGTTCAATTCATTTTGCAATACCAACCCCAAATTTCAGAACTTTTAAAAGGTAAATTTTAGCAAAAGTTATTAATGAAAATAACTGAGGCAACATCAAAATTTAATAGCTCCCCAAATTGACTAATTTATGTTTTAGTAGGAATAAATCATAGTACATAATAATAGAAGATTTAATAAGTTAAAATATGAAGGGAGAAAAAACCAAACCAAAACAAAAAACCCAACCCTTAAATCTGTCAATGATCACAAACAAATTTAGAAAAGGAAAAAAAACTGTGTGCAGGTAAGCAATTACATTTTTCCATCAGGTGTGGTGTTGCAAATTTTATGGACACCCAACGCATTTCTTATAGACAAGAACTGCAGAACTAAACTAACCTCGGTCTGCGGTCACAATCCTTTGGTAAGGATGGACACGCATATCGTGCCTTCGAACTTTAGTAGCCACCGCACCTAGTTAAATTGCAATTACCAAGACAAAGTTAGAAAACATTCACAAGGGGGGAAAAAACATTAACAGCAGGTTTATCAAAATGGATTTCAAATGTTCATTTACTACAAAAGTTTAAGAAACACGTTAAGGCACAGTAGTTTTAAAATTAACCACAATATGTCATGTATATATGCATCTATTAATATTGCATTCATTTCAAACATCTTGGGCCTTAACCTATTGTATCCATTCATTTACAATCCCCAAGTTACAGTATTTCATGAGCTCTATTAGATCCAAACATATTTAAGCTTTACTAGTCACATATTCACTGAAGTGCCTTTCTTGCAGCAGGACTACTTAAATAACGCCATGTTTAATACAGACAATTATTTGCTAACCTTAAGACCACTTCAAGAGTTTATCACTTAAAAAGGTTTAAAAGCAATTCTTAAAGCCTACAGATTGTGGTTTTAAACTCTGAGTCAATAAGTATGAACTGCAATGAATTAGGTGATTAGTAAAGCAAACAGTATAGTACACTTAGCAGTCAGTATACTACTATACACTCCTTTATAAATTACCATTACTGTGTAATATTACAGACTAAACCAAATTAATAACATAATTTTACTTTATATCTATGTGCAAAAAGTGCAAGTAAGTCACTGACTGCTAGGCTAAGCTTTTTTCCCCCGGAGGCTGCTGAGACTAAGCATTTGTTAAATTCAGATCTGATGAGGGTTCAGTTAAGACCGTTCTTGAATTCTTAGCCTTTCGTTGGGAAAGCCATACCTAAAGATAAAAGGAAGGGAATTAAAAATTAGTCATCAATGAAGACTTGATGCTAATACCAATCTCCTCACTACTACCAACACACATGTCTGCATCTGTTTTGAAGGGCACTGCTTATTTTAAAATAATTTAATGTGAGATGTGACATAAATAGCATGCATGTTATCTGTGTGCAAATTTATTATAACTTAGAAATTTAAAATAATTTTCTGAGTTCTCCAAGTGGTCAATATCATGTTTTACTGCTTAGGTGGCAAAGCAAGAAATGAAATTAACCATAATAGATTTTTTCATTGGGCACTTATTATTATTCACCTTATGAATGCCAATTAGAAATCTGCATATTTTGGTCTTTATTTTACCAGTCTAATAATTAAGTTTCTATAAGTAAAAATTTTCCAACAAACAAAAGACATGAAGCTTTACAATGAGAAACAAGTTTTACTGCAGTGCCTCTTGCTATTTCTAAGCAGTAAACTGGTCCATCACCTCTTATTCATTTTAGATAAGGTAATCATATACAAGTACAATTCCACGTGGCAAAATCAGGGAGATCTTGCGCTGAAAGTGCTGGAACAGCAGCTGGTGGCTAAGAGCCCCAGCCCTGCAGGAAGTCAAGAGTCATAACTCCTCGGGAACAGATGCTGTGGGTGCAGCAGAGAGGAGTTCTGGGAAAAGGAGCATGCACGGGACCACAGGACAGAGTATTAATAGAAAAGAAAACTTAAACAACAAGGTTACAGGTTACATGTTATTTTAAAAATGCTTCAAGAAATGTGCAACAGACACAAGCCTCTCATAAACAGTTCTGTGGTATAATTCTGACCTGCAATTACTTTATACAATGATTTAAACAGAAAACATGTACAATGAAATGTATTTGTTCATGAAACAAAGGGCACCTGAGTGCATGCACACACACAGATAACATACAGAGCATCATGGCTTTCTTTACTTGAACAACGAATTTTCGAGTTTAAATCTTAGTGTTCTCCAGTTCATTAAAGATTTTCAAATCTTTATAAATCAATATTAATGCTGGGGAAAAAAAACCTTAAAAGATCAAAGTCCTAAAAGTCAACAGCATGCATGCAGCACCAAGGTCATATACAATTCAGGAAAAAAAGTATTCAAATTTTGTCTGGTAAAACAAAGGGGTTGCACAGAAACAGTTTGTTCCACATTGACTGGTCGTGTTATAACAGCTGCTGTATTCTAGTCCTTCATCCAGCAAGTCAATGGGCTGAAATATCAGGCATGACTGGCATTTCAATCCACTCTATAAAAAAAAGGCATCAGTAATGTCTTTTTCGAGCACACCACTTTTTGTTCATGTAAAACCAAGCGTTTATATTATGATTTTAATTTCTGCCTTAAGTGAGATTCTGAATTCAGTGATTTGCTATTTATTTAACTATTCCATACTGTACTACTGAAATTAAGAGTATCTCTCATGTTTAATATGACTAGGACTCCAAAACACAAGAACTGAAAAATCTTAAGAATACAACTACAGTCATGCCTGCATAACAACATTTTGGTCAACAACGGACCACTTATACTATGTGGTCCCATAAGATTATAATGGCTATACCACACAGCCTAGGTGTGTAGTAAACGATATCATCTATGTCTGTGTAAGTACACTCTATGATGTACACCAAATGATGAAACTGCCAGACAAGGCAATTCTTAGACTGTATCCCCGTTGTTAAGCGATGCATGACTGTATTTATCTGATATTTTAAGTGATCGCAAATATTACAAAACACACACAATAATATGAATTTTATAAAGCGCTCAGACTACTTTCACTTAGAAGTTTAAAAATTTTCCAACAATTACACAAACCTGTGAGATAAAATAAATCTCAAATAAAGTTTGAGAAGTGGAGCTGATGGAGGTGACGGGCCAATGGGGTGGGACCTAAAACTCAGAATGACCTCAGTAATGTCAAATGTAAAAGTATTTGTTGAAATGTACACAACAGATTTACCCAACCAAACTGAACCTCAGTTACCAAAGTGGATCTGAATAAATTTAAGGTGCAATTATTTCAAAGGGGAACCCTTATGAGAGGCTGAAATAAAACAAAATTTAGTTTTCGGTCTTCCCTAATGCAAACTTGTCTTGCCTCTCTAAAACTGATAAAATCATTTCAAAATCTGAGGGAGCAAAAATATTTATAAAGAGAATGTTGTTAACCCCATGGGGAGAAGAACTTACCTAATACACCACTAGGTTCAATAGGATACTCAAGGATTGATGTAGCTGGTGCCAATGTGTAGGGGTACTCATAGGGTGTATAGATTAAACCAGCTTCGGGCCCTGGAGGAACTATTGCAGCAGTTGGGTGAGGAGTTCCGTTTGGCATGACAGCGGTCTGTATTTGTCTGATCAAAGGCATTATGGTAGGGCCAGCTGGCGTAGGAGTACGCAGGGCAGCTGGTGGGAGAACCGGCGCAGGCCCAGTAATGATCCTTGGAGCAGCCTGGGCTGTTGCTGCAAGAGAAAAGGCAAGGGCTGCTACAGTAAGCAAAGAAATTTAGAAAGAAGTATAGAGACAGCAGTATAAAATACGGAAAAATGAGAAGGGAGTAGGAAAAAGAAAGGAAAAGCAGGAAAGAAGAAAAATAAAAGGAAATCATTAGTACATGCGCTGATCACACAAAAATGCAAAAGCACACCAATCAAATGCAAACAGCTTTCCCTTTCCCAATGTGATTAAGAATGTGCAAAAATTAAAAAGCCATTGTAAAAAAATGAATGACACCATTAAATAGGTTATATTTAGTTCATACATTTGATATATCTAAGATTTCATAAGACTAAAGTACATGCAGAAGCACAATGAAACACTTGCATTAACAGATGTTAAAAAATAATTTGTAACCGGAGTCCACAGAAACTCAGTTTTGGTATATTTCTAAAGTACAGCTTTAGTTTCAAAGTAAAGAAAGAATAATTTTTATTGCATTTAGTCAAGTAACCACTAGGTATATATGTACATTTCCTGCATCTTTAGGAACCAACGTCACAGAAAATCTTAAAAAGCCCTACTTCTAAATTCCTATTAATGATATACTCACATTTTCATGAGTAAATTAATGTCAACAATTTGTAAAGTAACTACTTCTAAACCCACTAGAGGTTGCCTACATCTTCTAAATCTGGCTAGAACTTAAAAATTCTATGTGTTTTAAATAATCAGTAATTTAAACATGGTATGTTCATATAAATGACATGTATGAATCTTAAATTGTTTCAAAATATAAATTTCACATTATTTCATTTTAAACATAAAAAAGCTATCCTCTTACGGCTTATAAAAACATGCATAGATACGCATAAAAACAAAAATAGGACGGAAAAAGAGTTATCACCCACTGATCTCTGTGAACTCACATATGAAATCAACAGGGAAAAATACTAGAGGGAAAACATGCAAGCAAAGTGAAAGGACAGAACTCAACAGAGGGTCATTTCAGTCAGATACACTTCAAATTCACTTTTTCAAAATAAGCTTTCAATATGTTGTCTTTTGCATAAATTTAACAAGATAAGCTGCAAGCCCTACATCTGTAGTTAACCAAACAGAAAATTTCTTAAACACTTGAATTTAGAGATTGTGATTTTGTTAAAATAATGTAAGTTTATCAACCTAAAACTTCAACATGCTGACATAAAATAAAATCAAGAGTGTCCTCAATTCATGAAAGCATTAAAAATAGGACTGTCAGCCCCATATCAAGTGACAGAACAGTTATTTCAACTGTTCACTTTGTATGAACTATTATTGTGTTGCCAAAAGGAAAAAAGTCTGTAGACAAAACAACGCAGACAGCAGTAACCCTGGGCCTCAGAGCTCATTCTTACGTGATTTAATGTTGGCATCTCTGTAGGTGCCATTCAGAATCGCAAGCTCCATCAGCTGCATCTTCTTCAGGCTGTCTTCTCCTTCTGCCTATACATGGAAAACACATGAGATGAAAGCATTTGAGACTGTCCACAAATATAATAGCTATATCTACACACAAGCCTTAAAGTAAGTATCATGTGACTACAGTCACCTGTTTTAATAAGGGGAAAAAAAGATCAAGAACCAAAAGGTGCTAACATAATGGAGCCTGCTTTCTCTGTTTTCTCAGTAAAGGCATGTTGATATACAGCATATTGTATTTGTAAATTTTTTGTCAGTTACACCGATTTATTAAAGTTCCCCTAAAAAGCTTTACTTTTAAATAGAAATGAATGAAAATGTGAGATAAGACTAAACATAACATATTCTCTTCAGCATCTATCATTTTAAAATTACTTTAATTAATTTTATTGTTTTTAGATACAGGGTCTTGCTCTGTTACCCAGGCTGGAGTGCTGTGGCATGATCCTAGCTCACAGCCACCTTGAATTCCTAGGTTCGAGCCATCCTCCTACCTCAGCCTCCGAAGTAGCTGCGACTAGAGGCACGCGCCACCATGCCTGGCTAATTTTTTTTATTTTTTGTAGAGACAAGGTCTCGTTTTGTAGCCCAGGCTGGTCTCAAACTCCTGGCTTCAAGTGATCCTCCTGCTTCAGCCTCCCAAAGTGCTAAGTTTACAAGTGTGAGCCACTGCACCCAGCCAGCAACTATCATTTTGCTGAATATTCCAAAACTCAAATGTGTTCGTTAAACACACACATACACACACGCGCGTGCACATGTGCACACAAATAATTTTAAACATACAAGATTTGATTACAGAATTTAGGTAAGGAAATTTTATGCTTAATTCTTCAAAATATGAAAACTCAGTGAAATAATAACTTCTAAAAAACCGTATATTCTGCTCTCTTACACCACCATCCCTGTCTCCTTTCAATCTAATTAGCAAGTGCTATCAATGCTACAGCAATCTATCTTTAGGGTCACCATATGATTTATTGTCCAAAGCAGAAAACTTTTAAAAGCAAAAATGGGCACTAATAATAACCATGCTTCAAACCTAAATCAGGATAGTCTCTAATCATCAAAATGTTTGGCCACCCCATTTACCTTGAATTGGTCCCACTCTTTCCATTTACTGTTCCAGTTGTTTTTGGCATAGCACCCAAACTACTAAAACATGTTGCTAATGGTGTCTGTTCTCCAATCAATCTCTACACAAAGGCCAGATTAATTGCCCAAATCACAATTTTCATCATGTTTCTCAACATTCTGTCTCAAAACACTTTCATGGTTTCTTACTATCTAAAAATATAAAAAACTTTAGTTGCCTATAATCTGGTCCCAAAATATCCTCTCAAGTTAAGCCCATTAACCTACTACTTTACACACGTATGTAAGTAACATCTTAAGTCAAACCAGATTGCTCTCCACCATTCATCTCTGTGCATATTCCCACTTCCTCCATCCTAAGTGCTCCCCTGCGCACTCTCTGCCCCTCTCTCTTTCCAAATCCTACCTATCCCCATCCCCACAAACTTCAACCTAAATGCTACCTTCCTTCTCCAGGGGCCATCCCTAGATTACAGTAGATCCTCACTTAATGTGGTCAATACATTCTTTAAAACTAACTTTAAGTGAAACGACAGACAGCAGGTCCTCAAATAATGCCACTGCTTTCAACATGGTTTCATTATAACATTGATGAAAAAAGAGGCTGCAATATACTCATTTTGTTTAAAGTTGTATCTCCAAGAACCTATCGACAAAGTTAATTGCTTCTACTTCAAATTACAGTCTGTTGAGTATCACCACTCCCAAAGTAAGCTCCATGAGAATAGGGCTTATTTCTTTGTTACCACTGCCTAACCCCATGTTCCCACGGCCACCCCCAAGTTACTTACTAGAACTTATAAGTGACTGGTATGAGAAGTCTTTAACTTTATTTCCAAATCCCAAATGTCTCAGTCCAACATAAACTTTAGCCACAGTCAAAGCAAGCAGTAGATGAGGGTCCATCTATCAAAGTCTGTGTAGAGATAGAACTAACTGCCCCCCACTTTTATGTATCATCGAATCCCAGTAACTTTACATGACTTTGTGATATTTACAATGAAAGTAACACAATGCAACAATTTTCTGACATAGTCTTGTTCCTCTCTGATTCATAAAACGGGAAGGACGACCAGGACACAGGCTTCTCAGTGCTCCTTTCTATTATAGCTGTAATGACACACAAAATTCTGTTTTTGGCATTACAATGGTGAATGGTATACTATAATATATAGTAAACAGAACTGTTCAGTGAGCTTTTAGTAAATCACAAGAATTAAAGAAAAATATGAGTGAAACATAAAGACAATGTTTTGATGTGCTACTGCCAACTTTTTAAAAACCTACTTTGCAGAAGATTACAGGGAGTGGATACTGGCATGCCTGTAGAATTTGACTCCTATCAACTTGTACAAAGATGAACAAAAAGTAAGTATGATCTTAGAAAGACACAGAAATTATTTGTTAAAAACGAAATAAGTAAGCTACTATTGGAAAAGAAGAATCAAATCCATTATAATAAAACTTCAACTTATTTGCTAAAAACTAGTCATTTGAAAATTAAAACTTATCAAAAGTTTCAAATTTAAATTTATATATAAAAATGGAATACCAAAAGTATTATAAATTATACTCTACATAAAAAAAGAAAAAGAAGAGCAGTAGGTTTACCTCCAGTCATCTACCATAGCGAGAAAGAAGTGGTACAAGTTTGAAAATGTCAGCAAATAAGAGGGCAAATTTACTTCCAACAAAGAGGAAATAAAGACGAAAGACGAGTTTCCTGCAGAAGGGCAGGTGCTTGAAAACATGTTGGCACTGAACTGCTCCTTTTGGATAGCAAAATAGCTATTCATTATTTGGCAATGGAGTGTCAAACAAGGGAGAAAACCACAGAGAAAAAAGATGGAAGAAATGTGTGTGATTACCACTGTGTGTGCACACTTGTGTAATGTGCAGGGTGCAGGATAATGAAAACAGGAGAGATCACCCTAAGAGAATAAAAATAAGAGTGGCATAGGAGGAGATCCTGGTGTAGTCTGCCATATGGTGTTGCTGGAGGTGATGGTATGTTACACCAGATCACAGCCACATTTTGGCAGGGTACACTAATGCCTCCCAGAAATGCACAGGATTTAGTTGGCAGAGCTGGAATTTGATTCTAGGTGGTCTCAGTCCAGGATGGGCTTCACCCTCATGTCCTGACCACTCCCCTCCACTCTGTATTCACAGGGCATGATCTTGTGTGTCTTAAGAGACAACAGGGTTCACTGGCCGGGTGTGGTGGCTCACGCCTGTAATCCCAACACTTTGGGAGGCTGAGGTGGGCAGATCATGAAGATTAGGAGTTCGAGACCAGCCTGGCCAACATGGTGAAACTCTGTCTCTACTAAAAATACAAAAATTAGCTGGGCGTGGTGGCAGGTGCCTGTAATCCCAGCTACTTAGGAGGCTGAGGAAAGAGAATCGCTTGAACTTGGAAGGCGGAGGTTGCAGTGAGTCGACATCGCGCCGTTGCACTCCAGCCTAGGCAACAGGGCGAGACTGTCTCAAAAAAAAAAAAAAAGAAAAAGAAAAAAAAAGAAGAGACAACAGGGTTAATTATAGAATTACTTTCACATCGAAGTGGTTATTTCAATGTTACTGTCCTGGTTTTGACAATGAGATTTGGTAGTACGTACCTGCCTAAACACTGTTGAAGGTATATATCACCTCTTTTTCAAATATAAGTTCAGATGAGAAAACTAAGTTTCTTCTACAGTCTAGAGGCTCTAGAGCTTCTATGAGCCAGTCTTCAGACCAGTTTTTCTGACCTCTTTTTTTCTCAAAAATTACAACTGATCAAACAGGGCATCCTGAAGTTGTACATGTCAACTCCAGATAGTTCACAAAGTATCCTGCAGAACCTTGATCGGGAATGAGCAACTCTACAGAGACAGAACACTAACTTTTACATTTGTAAAATGGGTCATTAAAATCATATTTTGTAATACTGAACTCAAGTGATTATCCGCAATCTCATAGCTTCTGGTTTCCTAAGTATTTGCCCTATATTCAAGAATCATTTAAAAAATGGAAGCAAAATTCACATGCAGTGGACTCCCAAGATCTTAAGTGCAATATCCAGTCACGATATTTCTTTTTTTTTTTTTAAGTTTTTGTGGGCACACAGTAGGTGTATGTATATATAAAGTACATGTGATATTTTGATACAGGCATATAATGCATATTAATCACATCAGGGTAAATGGAGTACCCATCAACTCAAGCATTTATCCTTTCTTTGTATTATAAACAATCCAATTATTCTTAAATGTACGATAAATTATTGTTGACTGTAGTCACCCTGTTGTGCTATTGAACACTAGATCTTACTCATTCTAACTATATTATCGTACCCGTCAACCATTCCCACTGTGCCCTCCCAACCACTCTTCCCAGCCTCTGGAACCATCGCTCCACACTCTATCTCCATAAGTTCAATTGACTTAATTTTTTTAGCTCCCACAAAAAAGTGAGAACATGTGAAGATTCTTTCTGTGCCTGACTTATTTCACTTAACATAATGACCTCCAGTTTCATCCATGTTGTTGCAAATGACAGGATCTTATTCTTTTTTATGGCTAAATAGTACTCCATTGAAGACACAGGACATTTCCACAAACCCAGAAAGTCTCCTTGTACCTCAAGCCCTAACCATCCATCTGATTTAACTTGCCTAGACTAGATTTTCGGATAATGAAGGCATATATAATATTTTGTGTTCAATTTCTTTCCCTCAGTATGACAGCTGTCAGACTCATCCATATTGCTGCATGTCGCTGTAGTTCATCTGTTTTAATGGCTGAGTAGTATGTTATTTATCTATTCTTCTGCTACAGACATTTGATTGTTTCCACTTTTTGGATATGTGAACAGAGCCACTCTGAAAATTCTCATATAAGGCTTCCTTGCAAATATAAGTTTTCATTTATCTTGGATAAATACCTATGAGTAGAGTTGCTGGGTCATAGGGCAGATGAATATTTCCCTTGTATTTGTATGGAAAATATTATGGAAAGATTATTAAAGCACAACAAAGAATGTCTTTACTTTTGAAATGTAAAAGCTCAAAAATAGAACACACTCCTGCTAATAGCTAAAACCTGTGGTATCGGGGAAGTGCCTTGAGAATTTCAGAGTTTTTCAGATTTATAGAAAGATAATACACCACAGATTCTATAACACCCAGCAGAGTCTGGGGGATACGCCCATAATCCAGTCCGTAACAAACAGAAAAATACTCACACTAAGTGGGGTGAAGCAACTATAAACACAGTTTTCTGAACTTCTGGAGGCTTGCAATTAAGGATGACCAATTATGGGTATGTATAAATATATATATTTTAATTTATGCATATTAAGATATAGATATGTCATCAACTATGCCTTTTCTGTTGTTTGTTGTTTTTTTTTTTTTTTTTTTTTGAGGTGGAATTTTGCTTTTGTTGCCCAGGCTGGAGTGCAATGGTGCAATCTCAGCTCACTGCAACTTCGCCTCCTGGGATTCTCCTGCCTCAGCCTCCCAAGTAGCTGGGATTACAGGCATATGTCACTACGCCCAGCTAATTTTTTGTATTTAGTAGAGATGCGGTTTCACCATGTTGGTCAGGCTGGTCTCGAACTCCTGACCTCAGGTGATCTACCCGCCTCGGCCTCCCAAAGTGCTGGGACTACAGGCGTGAGCCACTGTGCCCAGCCATCATCAACTATGTTTAACAGCTATGTTAAAAGGATACAAACAGGTCACGTTTAATGTAATTTATACATTGTTCAACTTTTCTAGACTTAGACACTAGATCTTCATTATCCAATCATTTACGCTTCCTAACAAATGTGTGGTATTGGCAGTGCATTATCCCTGAGGCTCAGGCAGGGTAGGCAGCTTATCCAAAGCCACAAAAGTTCACATTGCAAACCTGGCTTCCAACCCAGAATACCTGATTCAAAGTCCTCATGTTTAACCATTACATTATACCTTCTCCAGTCTTATGATGCCTTTAAGTGGAAGTATCTTTTGAATTCATCAGACCACATGTTAGAAAGTAAGAAAATCATGTTTATTTAGTATTTTTAGATCTATATACTTTTAAAAAAAAACTACAACAAAGTAATCACCAGAGAGCTGAAACAAATGTGTATTTCCAAATCATTAAAACTATGTCAACTAAAAAAATAATTCGAACCACTGCCTATCACAAAGGCCCAAATTCTCCAGCATTCAGGGCATTGAACAGTTTACATGAGCAACCTTGCTTGCAAATGTTTTGCATTAGTCAAAATCATCTGTCCA